>NC_000023.11:85795875-86098905 GCF_000001405.40 Homo sapiens
GATGACCTGTCCTTTCTCTCTAGCTGCCTTTAACATTCTTTCTTTCATTTCAAACTTGGAAAATCTGGCAATTATGTGTGTTGGAAATGACCTTGTGTAGAATCTTGCAAAAGATGTCTGTATGACCTGAATTTGACTGTTGGCCTCTCAAGCAAGGTTGGGGAAGTTTTCATGGACAATATGCTGAAATATGTCTTCTAAGTTGTTCGCTTTCTCCCCTCTCTTTCAGGGATGCCAATGATTCATGTATTTGGCCTCTTTACATAATCCTATACATCTTGGAGGTTTTGTTTATTCCTTTTTATTTATTTTTTCTTTATTTTTGCCTGACTGTCTTATTTCAGAGAACTAGCCCTCAGGTTCTGAGATTCTTTCCTAAGCTTGGTCTATTCTGTTGTTAATACTTGTGATTGCATTGTGAAATTCTTGTACACAGCTATTCAATTCTGCCAGATTTGCTAAATTCTTTTTTATACTGGCTATTTCATCCTCAACTCCTGTATTGTTTTACTGTGATTCTTGTTTTCCTTGGATTTGGTTTTGTCATCCTCCTGAATCTTGATTATCTTCATTCCTATTCATATTCTTAATTCTATTTCTGCCATTCCAGCCAGTTCGGCCTGGTTAAGAACTCTCATTGGAGAACTGGTGCTGTTGTTCAAAGGACATATGACACTGTGGCCATTTAAGTTACTATAGTTCTTTCTCATCTCTGCATGTGGGTATTCCTTTAACTGCAGTGTAGATTGAGTACAGTCAATAGATTTATTTTCTAGATGTTTTCACTGGGGCAAGGCTTAGTGCTGGGTCTCTATTTGAAACTTACTTTTTGTCTCTAGTTTCAGAGGGGAGAATGTTAGTGAGGTATTTTTATTGTTAAAGCTTTGGGGTATGATTCAGTAGGTAGCACTTAAGCTTATTGGTTAGTTGGTAGATTCTTGCTTGGTTGTGTGGCTCCCCTTTGTTTCCTCAAAGTTACAGCTATGTTTTCTCTCAATGCTCTGAAAGTGTGTGGGTTTCTCTCCCTCTTAAGTACTGGCTGTAGATTGTGGCTTGGCACTCTGGAGCTGCCTACTGCAGCTCTGGGGAGATCTCAGTGTTGTTATTCCTTCTCCAGCTTGGTGGTGCAGAGAAAGGGACCTTAATATTGGTTGTGGCCAAGGACATTTTGCTTGTCTCCTGTGGGCTCCGCCCAAGACAGATGCAGGTCAGCAATTGCTCAGTGCAATCAACCCAGGATAGGTGACCTGTGGTTTGGGCCCAAGCCAGGGGTTCTCTATCTGGTGACAAGCAGTGTGAACTGTGTGGGACCTGTGGGAGATGGATTGGCCTTCTCTCCTTGGGTCAACTTCAGCTTTCTGGAGGTGTGGATAAAGCATTTAGGGTCTTTGCTTCTTCATTAGTCTGATGGTAGCAAGGGCAGTTCCTTCCACTGCAGAGGCAGTAACAGAGAGGCTTTCAGTTGCCCCTGGAAGCTCTGTCCAGGGGGTTGCTCTGTTGTTAGTGGCTCAATATCTCTGGTAGAAGGTGGCTGGAGACCCAGGCCTGGAGGACCTTCTCAGTGAGGAGATTTGGGAATGTGCACCCACATAACAGTCTGGTCACTTTTCCATAAGGCTGCTGTGGTATGCTAGGGGCCCATTTCAGCCCCTAGTTGCCTCGAATTTTCCAGCACCTGGAGGTATCACCAGTGAAGACTGTGGAACCGCAAAGATGGCAACCTGGCCCTGCCCCTCCCTCTGGGAGCTCCATTTCAGAGAGGTATAGATCTGTTGTCAGGTCAAACGCACCCGCAGTATGTGGCTGGATCCCACATTGGGAGGTATCCGTATCTTTGTGTGGTTTTGAGAGTTCCTCTTGCTATTGATCTCTAATTTTATTCCACTGTGGTCTAAGAAGACATTTGATATGATTTTGATTTTTTTGAATTTATTGGGACTTGCTTTATGGCAAATTATATGGTCAATTTTAAAGAATGTTACATAAGCAGATGAGAAAAATGTATATTCTGCCTTTGTTGAGTGGTATGTTCCGTGTATGTCTATTAGCTCCATTCAGTCAAGAGCTCCACTTACGTCCAAAGTTTGTTAATTTTCTCCCTTAATGATCTGTCCATGCTGTCAGCAGAGTACTGAAGTTCCCTACTATTACTTTATGGCTGCTATCTACTTTCTTAGTTCTAGTAATATTTGTTTTATAAATATGAATGCTCTGGTGTTATATGCATATATATATATATATGATAGTTAAGCCACCTTTTGGAATTAAACATTTTATCATTATATAATGCCTTTCTTTTTTTTTTTACTGTTTTTGATTTAAAATCTGCTTTATCTGATATAAGAATAGTAACCTGTGTTCCCTTTTGTTTTTTATTTGATGAGATATCTTTTCGTGTTCTTTTACTTTGAGCTTCTGGGTGTCTTTACACATTAGGTGGGTTTCTCGTAGGCAGTAGATGGTCTTGTTTTTTCATCCAGTTTGCCAACCTATACTTTAACTGGAGCATTAGGCAGTTTATGTTCAAGGTTAACTTGTTCAAGGTTGCTTTGTATTCTCAATTGTGCTTGCTTTATAGGACCTATACACTTCATATTTATGTGTACTCTTATGGTAGCAAGTGTCATCCTTTTGTTTCCATCTTTAGAACTTCTTTGATTATTTCTTATAGGACTGGTATAGTGGTGACAAATTCTCTTAGCATTTGCTTATCTGGAAAGACTATTTCTCCTTTGTTTATCAAGCTTAGTTTGGTAGAATGTAAAATTCTTAGCTGGCTTATGTTTTGCTTTGGAAGACTAAAAATAGGCTCCCAGTCTTTTCTGGCTTGTAAGATTTCTGCTGATATATCTGCTGTTAGTCCAATAGGGTTTCCCTTATAGGTAATTTGGCCCATTTATTTAGCTGGCTTTAAGATTTTTTTCTTTAGTGTTGACCTTGGATAGTCTCATGAGTATATGCCTTGGTGATATTAATCTTGTATAGTGCCTCGTAGGTGTTCTCTGAATTTCTTTTATGTGGATGCAGATTTCTTTGGTCTCTCTAGCAAGGTTAGGAAAATTTTCCTGAATGATTCCCCCACATATGTGTTCCAGATTGATTACTTTTTTCTTCTCTTATTTCAGGAATGCCTATAAATCATAATCCCTATTTCTCAAAGGTTTTGTTCATTTTTAAAAAAATCTTTATTTTTGTCTGACTGGGTTAATTCAAAAGACTAGTCTTCAAGCTCTTAAATTTTGTCTTCTTAGAAAAGTTAGAAGCTTTACCACTAGACTAGACCAAGAAGAAGAAATAATTTTGAAATTCCTTTAGCGAAGTTTACATTTCCAGAAGTTTTTTTCTTTTTTTAATATAGCTATCTTGTATTTTATATACTGAATTGTTTTTCTGGTTTCTTTGCATTGGTTTTCAACTTTCTCTGGGATCTCATTGAATGTCCTTGCCATCAATATTTTGATTCTTTATCTGTCACTTCAGAGTTTTCACTTTGGTTAGGATCCATTGCTAGAAACCTAGTGTGATCCTTTGGAGGTATCAAAACACTCTTTTTGTAATGCCAGAGTTTTTGCCCTGATTCCTTTTCATATGAAGGAGTTGTCACTTCTAATATTTGAATTTTGTTTGTTTGTTTGTTTGTTTGAGATGGAGTCTTGCTCTGTCACCAGGCTGGAGTACAGTGGGGCGATCTCGGCTCACTGCAACCTCCACCTCCCGTGTTCAAGCAATTCTCCTGCCTCAGCCTCCCAAGAAGCTGGGACTACAGGTGTGCACCACCACGTCCAGCTAATTTTTGTATTTTTAGTAGAGACAGGGTTTCACCATGTTGGCCAGGATGTTCTCAATCTCTTGACCTCTTGATCCGCCCACCTCGGCCTCCCAAAGTGCTGGGATTACAGGTGTGAGCCACTGCGCCTGGCCATATTTGAATTTTCTATCATTTGGATGTGACTTTAAAATTTTCTATTCCTGTTTCCCTTGAGGGTTTAACTGTGGTGTATGTGGTGTATGATTGTTCAGCTTCCTTTCTTGGTGCTTTCAGAGGGCCAAGGCTCTGTGTTGGTTCCTTGGTTATGGAAAGCTCTTGTGTGGTGGCTTTCTCAAATGTTGCTTGTTGTTGCATTGTGTTGAGTATATGAACTAACACACTATCTTCTGCAGGACTGGGAGTGTGCAGGTCTCAGTAAGGTTATTTCATGCACCACTAGCACCTTGCCTTTCTAATGGCAGGTTTTTGTTCTTTTTTTGCAGGTACAGTTCAGTCTCCAGTCCAGTAGGTAGCACTTAAGGGTAAGAGCTAGATTGCTCTCAGGTAGCACAGAAATGAGGGGAGTCAACAAATTGTTGATGATGGGGTGGTGGGGACAATAATGTTGGGGTGCACTGAGGTCTCTGGTGTGGGGAGGGAGGCTGCACCAGCTCCTTGTCCTCTGCAGGCAGGAATATGGTCAGCTTCCCTATCATGCCTCTGTCTCAGCATTGATAAGCTTCAGTTCATAAAGACATTGTCCTTTGGCTCCTGGTGCAATGAAGCCTGCAGAAATGTCCCTCTGGCAGCAACCACCAAAATGGACTTAGAGCAAAACCTTTTCTTCCAGTTTAGAGCAGAGAGCTCTATGGCTTGTGTCTTCCCTTCATTGTCAAGACATTGCCACTCTATGTAAGGAGCAGGAAATGGGCCCCACTTTTAATGCAAGACTGAGAGTCATGAGCTCACTTTTCACAGGGGTGCAGCTACTACAAAAATGCTGGAAAGGCTCTCTCCAAGTGCATTCACAACAGTCCCCAGCGGGGAAAGCCTCTGCTGTATCCACAATGGTAGATGGGGGAGTTAGAGATGACAACCTCTCAATGTCTATGCCTGGCCACTAGTGCCACCCCCTTTAGCAATTGGCACTGTACCTACATTTTCTTTGTCTCAACAGGGGCCTTGGCAAGCTGTGCTTCCCCTTCTCCCAGGGTTGATCTGCACCAGGGCTAGATTTCCAGGGACCCTGCAGTTCCCCAGGAACCACTGGTCTCTTGTGGTTGCCAAAGTCAGAAGAGGTTCTTGGGTATGTTTGTGGGAAATCAGGTAGTTTGGCAACAAAGGGCTAAGGTTCACTGGGCAAAATAGTGGCCCACAACAGGTGCATAATCAGTATGGCATCAGCCATCTCAGTTCAGGCCTAAAGGGAGTTGCAGGTGCACCAGCACAAGCTGGCCATTCAGTGTTCTTTCCCTGGGAAGTTCTCAGATTGCCACCAACAGCATTGTCCCAGTGTCACAAGGGCAGAGGGTCTCCCTGAGAATTTGGAAGTCAGCATGATGTTGCAGGGGTGAGGGGAGCAGAGAAGCACCATCACCTATCCTATACATGAGACTCTGTTTCTTGGCGGTAAATTTCTGCCTTACTCTTACTGCATTACTTTTTTGTGTCCCATCTTCTTCCTATGGACTCATCAAGTTCTGACCTTCTTCCTTCAACTTTCCATTCAGATCGTGACCATTCACCTGTAACTTTGATCTTCTTTCTGAGGAGAACTGGCATTTAATATCTTTAGTCAGCCGTGACTACTCAGCTTCTGGGGTGTCCAAATATCCTCCCTCTGAATCTCCCAGTACCTGCAGGTCATAGGACAACTGAGGCTGTGACAGAGACTCTTGGAGCTCCTCAGAGCAGAGAAGACTAGTAGGGAAGGCAGGACCATGAGCTCAGTGGCAGAGAGACAAGGCCTTTTGCAATCTTTAATTTTTTTATTTTTAACCTGGCTTCCTAGGGGTCACCCTTGTGTTTACACAATTTAATGGTCAGTAAATGATTGGTCAGCAAATGATGGTAAGAGGTTTTACTCCAATAACTTGAGTCAGGAAAGCACTGACTTAATGTTAGTGTTGCTAGAAAGAAATATCTGTGGCTGGGTAATTTATAAATAAAAAATATTTATTTGGCTCATAATTCTGCTGGCTGGAAGATCAGGTATCTGGTGAAAGCCTCATACCGTTTCCACTCATGGCGGAAGCTGATGTGAAGTTGGCATGTGCAGAGATCACATGGTGAGAGAGGAAGCAAGAGAGAGGAGGAGGAGATACTAGGCTATTTTTAAGAACCAGCTCTCATGGGAAGTAATATTGAGAACTCAATCTTCTTAGCCCCCTCCAAGGTGGGAATAAATCTATTCATGAGGGATCTGCCCCCATGACCCAAACACCTCCCATTAGTCCTCACCTCCAACATTTGGAAACAAATTTCAGCGTATTTGGGGAACAAAAATATCCAAACAACAGAAAACATCCACCGATTTCTGATGAATTTGTGTGTGGTTTTCAGGCAATTCTCAAATACTCCCAGCTTTTAATGTCCGCCAGGCCGTTTTAGATCTCCCTGTACATCCATGCAGCCTTCTAAGTGCCAAGAATAGCCCCTCTATTGTTCTTTCATACCCAGAACTTCCTGTTAAATTTTAGATAATTGGTTGGTCATTTTAGATAATTGGCTGGTCTGCCATTGACCCCAACCAGGGTTGCACCCTAGACTACCATTGCTGCTGGCTTTCCCTGCTCATTTTCTACCAAGTTTGCTACTTTTACTGACAATGTCACTGGACGTAGAGTTTCCATCCACTGCTCCAAATCAAGTTAGCCCCCCATTTCAGGGAAGCTGTTGATTTTCACCGCCACTCTGCTGTGGTAGAATTCCCTCACCTACTAATACGGTGGTGGAATAAGAGCAGCCTCAGAAAAGAATGCCACAGACTCTCATTGTTCTTCCCTAAAATTCAATTACTCGTGAATAAATGTTTCTCATTTTTTTTCTTTGCCATTGTTCATTGCCACAGCCCTAAAACAGTAGTGGGCTTTTTCAAAAACATTATTATCTCATTTTATAGTTATTTGGGAGCAGAGGATTTTTGCTGTTCTCTTCACTATACCATAGCCAGAAGTCCCAACTTTTTTTTAAGGTGAATCATTTATTTAGAATCAATAACTTGCTACAATTTGTTTTGGATGATGCTTTTAGTCGGATGTTAACAACAAATAGAAATCAACATAGAACAAGCTACACTCCATCACCACAGATAAATTCTTTTTTTAAATCTTTTAAGTTCAGGGGTACATGTGCAGGTTAATTATATAGGTAAACTCATCCCATGGGAGTTAGTTGTACAGATTATTTCATCACCCAAGAATTATGTCTAGTACCCATTAGTTCTTTTTTTCTGATCCTCTCCTTCCTCCCATCCTCAACCTTCTGGTGGGCCCCAGTGTTTTTTGTTTTCCTCTATGTATCCATGTGTTCTCATCTTTAAGCTCTCACCTATAAATGAGAACATATGGTATTTAGTTTTTGTTCCTGTGTTAGTTTGCTAAGAATAATGGCCTCCAGCTGCATCCATGTTCTTTCAAAGAACATGATCTCATTGTTTTTAATGGTTGCATAGTATTCTATGGTGTTTATATGCCACGTTTTCTTTATCCAGTATACCATTGATGGGCATTTTGGTTGATTCCATACCTTTACTATTGTGAATAGTGCTGAAATGAACATACAAATGCATGTGTCTTTATGACAGAATGATTAATATTCCTTTGGGGTACTTACCCAGTAATGAGATTGTCAGGTCAAACAGGTAGTGTTGTTTTTGGCTTTTTGAGGAATTACCACAATGCCTTCCACAATGGTTGAAATAATTTACACTCCCACCAACAATGTATAAGTGTTCCCTTTCCTCCACAACCTCCCCAACATCTGTTTTTTGTTGTTGTTGTTGTTGTTGTTTTTGCTTTTTATAATAGCCTTTCTGACTGGTATGAGATGGTATCTCATCACGGTTTTGATTTGCATTTCTCTGATGATCATGATGTTGAGCATTTTTTCACATGCTTGTTGGATGCATGTATGTCTTCTTTTGAAAAGTGCTGTTCATGTCGTTTGCCCGCTTTTCCATGGGGTTGTTTTGTTTTTCTTGTAAATTTGTTTAAGTTCCTTAGAGATGCTGAATATTAGACCTTTGTCAGATGCATAGTTTGCAAAAATTTTCTCCCATTCTCCTTAGTTTAATTAGATTTCATTTGTCAATATTTGCTTTCATTGTGATTGTTTTCAGTTTGTTCGTTATGAAATATTTGCCCATTCCTATGTCCAGAATGGTATTGCCAAGGTTGTCTTCTGGGTTTTTATAGTTTGAGGTTTTACATTTAACTCTTTAATCCATCTTGAGTTGATTTGTATATATGTAAGGAAAAGATCCAGTTTCAATTTTCTGCCTATGGCTAGCCAGTTATCCCAGAACCATTTATTTAATAGGGAGGGCTTTTTTTTTCCTATTGCTTGTTTTTGTCAGCTTTGTTGAAGATCAGATGGTTAGAGATTCAATGTTATTCCTGTCAAACTACTAATGAATGTTGATGTCATATTCTGAGACTGCTGAAATTCTTTATTAGCTTAAGGGGCTTTTAGACAAAGACTATGTGGTTTTCTAGGTATAGGATCATGTAACCTGCAAACAGGGATAGTTTCACTTCCTTTCATCCTATTTGGATGCCCTTTATTTCTTTCTCTTACCTGCTTGCTCTGGCCAGATATTCCAATACTGTGTTAAATGGGAGTGGTGAAAGAAGGCATCCTTGTCCTGTGCCAGTTTTCAGGGAGAATGCTTCCAGCTTTTGTCCATTCAGTATGATGTTAGCTGTGAGTTTGTCACAGGTAGCTCTTATTATTTTGAGGTATGTTCCCTCAATACCTACTTATTGAGATTTTTTAACATGAAGGAGTGTTGAATTTTATTGAAAGCCTTTTTTGTCTCTATTGAGATAATCATGTCTTTAGCTATGTTTATGTGATGAATCACATTTATTGATTTTTGTATGTTGAAACAAGCTTGCATCCCAGGGATAATACCTTATTGATCATGGTGGATAAGGTTTTTGATGTGTGGCTAGATTCAGTTTGCCAGTATTTTGTTGAGGATTTTTGCATCAATGTTCAAGAATATTGGCCTGAACTTTTCTTTTCCTGTTGTGTCTCTGCCAGTTTTTTTTTTTAACTCAGCATGGTGCTGGACTCATAAAATGTATTAGGGAGGAGTCCTTCCTCCTCAATTTTTTGTAATAGTTTCAGTAGAAATGGTATCAGTTCTTCTTTGTAAGTCTGCTAGAATTCAGCTGTGAATCTGTCTGGTCCTGGGCTTTTTTTGGTTGGTCAGCTATTTATTACTGATTCAATTTTGGGGCTCATTATTGGTGTATTTAGGGATTCAATTTATTCATGATTCAGTCTTGGGAGGGTGTGTATGTCCAGGAATTTATTCATTTCTCCTAGATTTTCTAGTTTATGTGCATAGAGGTGTTCATAATATATTCTGATCGTTATTTGTATTTCTGTGGGGTCATTGGTAATATCCTCTTTGTCATTACTAATTGTGTTTATTTGGATCTTCTCTCTCTTCTTCTGTATTAGTCTAGCAGTGGTCTACTTTATTAATTTTTTCTAAAAACCAACTCCTATATTTACTGAACTTTTGGTTTTCTGTACCTCAACCTCCTATAGTTCAGCTCTCATTTTGGTTATTTCCTTTCTTCTGCTAGCTTTGAGGTTGGTTTGCTCTTGGTTCTCTAGGGTTTTTTTTTTTTTTTTTTTTTTTTTTTTGGTTGTGATGTTAGTTTGTTAAATTGAGATCTTTCTAACTTTTTTATGTGGGCATTTAGTGCTATAAGTTTCCCTCTTAACACTGCCTTGGCTATGTCCCAGAGATTCTGATACATTATATCTTTTTCTCATTAGTTTCAAAGAATTTCTTGATTTCTGCCTTAATTTCATTATTTACCCAAAGGTAATTTAGAACTGTGTTCTGAAAGAGAGATTGTTATGATTTCAGTTCCTTTGCTTTGCTGAGGAGTGTTTTGTGTCTGATTATGTGGTCAATTTTAGAGTATGTGCCATATGGTGGAGAGAAGAATGTATATTCTGTTGCTTTTGGATAGAGAGTTCTGTAGATGTCTATCAGGTCCATTTGATACAGTGCTGGGTTGAGGTATTGAATATCTTTGTTAATTTTCTGCCTGGATGATCTATCTAATACTGTCAGTGGAATATTGAAGTCTCCCACTATTACTGTATGGAACCTAAGTCTCTTTGAAGATCTCTAAAGACTTACTTTATGAATCTGAATGCTCCTGTGTTGGCACATATATATTTAGGATAGTTAGGTCTTGTCAAATTGAATTATTTACCATTATACAATGATCTCCTTTGTCCTTTTTGATCTTTGTTGGCTTGAAGTCTGTTTGCCTGAAATTAGGATTGCAACCCCTGCTTTTTTCTGTTTTCTATTTGCTTTGTAGTTTTTCTCTATCCCTTTATTTTGAGTCTATGGGTGTCATTGCGCATGAGATGGGTCTCTTAAAGACAGCATAACAATGGGTCTTGGTTCTTTATCAAGATTGCCATTCTGTGCCTTTTAATTGGGGGCATTTAGCCCATTTACATTCAAGGTTAGTATTGACATGTGTGTATTTGATCCTGTCATCATGATGTTAGCTGGGGATTATGCAGACTTGTTTGTGTGGTTGCTTTATAGTGTCACTGATCTGTGTATTTTAGTGTGTTTTGTAGTGGCTGGTAATGATCTTTTCTTTCCATATTTAGTGCTTCCTTCAGGAGTTCTTGTAAGTCAGGTCTGGTGGTAATGGATTCCCTCAGAATTTGCTTGTCTGAAAAGAATCTTATTTCTCCTTCACTTATGAAGCTTAGTTGGGCCTGATATGAGATTCTGGGTTGGAATTTCTTTTCTTTAAAAATGTTGAAAATAGGCCCCAATCTATTCTGGCTTGTAAGGTTTCTTCTGAAAGGTCCACTATTAGTCTGAGGTGCTTCCTTTGTAAGTGACCTGACCTTTCTCTCTAGCTGCCTTTAACATTTTTTCTATCATTTTGACTTTGGAGAATCTGTTGGCTTTGTGTCTTAAGGATGATCTTTTTGTGAAGTATCTTACTTGGGTTCTCTGCATTTCCTGAATTTGAATGTTGGCCTTTCTAGCTAGGTTGGGGAAGTTCTCATGGATGATATTCTTAAATGCTTCTTAAGTTGGTTCCATTCTCCCTATCTCTATCAGGAATAACAATGAGTCCTAGATGTACATAATATCATATTTCTTGGAGGTTCTGTTTGTTCATTTTCATTATTTTTTCTCTATTCATGTCTGACTGTCTTATGTCAGAAAGCCAGTCTTCAGTCTCTGAGATTCTTTACTTAGCTTGGTCTATTCTCCTATTAATACTTGTGATTGCATTGTGAACTTCTGGTAGCATGTTTCTCAGCTCTATGAGGTTGGTTACATTCTTTTTTATACTGGTTATCTTGCCTGTCATCTCCTGTATCATTTTATTGTGATTATTAGCTTTCTTGGATTATGTTTCAACATATTTCTGCATCTCAGTTATCATCATTCCTATCTATATCATGAATTCTATTTCTGTCATTTCAGCCATCTCAGCCCGATTCAGAACCCTTGCTGGAGAGGTGGTGTGGTTGTTTGGAGGAAAGAAGGTATCCTGGCTTTTTGAGTTGTCAGAGTTCTTGTGTCGGTTTTATCATCTTTGTGGGCTGCAGTTTCTTCAATCTTTGAAGTTGTTGAGCTTCAGATTTTTTTCTTTTATCCCGTTTAGTGACCTTGAGGGTTTTATTGTGGTATAAGGTGGATTCGGCCAACTGGCTTCATTTCTGGACAACTTTGAATGGGGTGGGGAGGTGGGGAGGCAATGCTCCACTTCCAACTCCTGGACTGTATTCTTTAATACTGAGAGACTTGTATTGGTCCTCAACTTTGTTCTCTGTCTCTCAAGTTTAGGAAACCACTGTGTTGGAGTGGCCAAGTTGCTCCTGAACCATTAGTCACTACACTCTGATGGGTGTTGTCAGTCAAACCATTTCATAGTGAGGTGGCAGCAAAATCCATCCTCTATTCACATGTGCCAGCAGCAGTGGGAGCGGCAGCCCAGCGGGGGGTATACTCTTCAGCTGCAGGAAGGTGCTATTGGGTGCCAGTGTGACTGCTTCTTTCCCAGAATTCACCATGGTGGCAGAGGCAGCATGGCTTGGGGGTGATGGGGAGGGGCTGCTGTCACGTGTGCACACAGTCACCCTGGTGGTGGTGTTAGCACAGGGGTGAGGCACTGGTGGGCACAGTTCTGTGTGCACTCTCTGTGCCACAGGCAGGGGTGGTTTCTCAGGGTGGGGGAGTGTCTGCTGTTCCCTGTGCCCAGTTTCACTGCCATGGCAGTGTTGATTCAAGGGAGTGGCACTGGAGGGGGCAGGGCTGGCTGGCTCTGTGCCTGCCAAAGCTGTGACTGCAATAATGGTCCAGCCGGGGTAGGGGGAAGTGGAGTGAATCCACCACCGCAGTGGCAAGGGAAGGTGACCACACACATGCATGCTGGTGAGGCAAGGAAGGCAAAACCTGCCTGTGGACACACGCAGCAGCAAAGTGATGTGGGGAATTCCTGTGAGCTCAGAGGAAGCTGTAGTATGGGAAATGAGTGGGCAGGCTGGCATATGGCTGTGGGGGCCACCCTGCTGGAGCTCTTCACTAGTCAAAAACAGTCCACCAGCACAGAAGCTATGATACAGGCCCCGAGGGCACCCAAGGCTTCCCTGCAAGCAGGCCCAGCCAGGCTAGGGCCCAGGGAGAGGCCAGCAGATCAAGGGGTACTCAGGTGGGACCGACCTCACAAGATGGCCCTGAAGAGTTCAGGCGTAACAATTCCCCTAAAGCTAAAGGAGCAAATAGAGCCTAGGGAGATGGGCTTTCCTGGCCTTACACCACTACAGATGCTCCCACACAAAACCCTCTGGGCTCCACCTCAACTGGCATGCTGCCCCTACCACTTCTCTAAGCACCTCTCCCTGCCAACTCAAGTGTTCATGGTGGTTGAGGGGTCTCCTACTGCTGAAATTCCAGAGGCCCATGGCAAGATTGGATTGCTCCTTGCCAGTTCAACTCACCCATTCCCAGGGGTCACTGGGGGCCAGAAACAAGTCCTGGTGTGGGGTAGCCCCATGCAGAGTTCCCAGCTTCCTCCCCCTTCAGACCAGCTGCTATGTCTTCCTTCTATTTATTCTCCATGCCTTCTCTCTGAATATATGTTAGGAGTGTACCAGTCATCTTGGTCTCTTGGTGGCAGCTTTTCCACCTGGCTGTATGTAGTCAGCCATCTCCTATTTCTTTTTTAAAATGACTTATAGCTTTGAATTTTCAATAAGTCTTGGGGCTTCCAACTAATTAGTCTAAACTAGTAGGATATGATTATTCAATAAATCAAGTATCTGTTGAGCAACAACAATGATATTGACTGGATTACAACCCAATTACAAACCCAAACATAATGGCTTCTCCTGGTATTAAAATTCAAGATGTCTAGGCCAGGCATGGTGGCACATGCCTATAATCCTAGCACTATGAGAGACCAAAGCAGGAGAATTGCCTGAGATCAGGAGTCCGAGACCAGCCTGGGAAATATGGTGAAACCCCATCTCTACAAAAATACAAAAATTAGCCAGCCTGTATTTCCACCTACTTGGGGGGCTGAGGCAGGAGGATCATTTGAGTTTGTGAGGTGGAGGCAATGAGCCAAGATCACACCACTGCACTCCAGCCTGGGTCACAAAGTGAGACCCTGTCTCAAAAAAAAAAAAAAAAAAAAAATTCAATGTGTCTAAATAAAAA
This sequence comes from Homo sapiens, assembly GCF_000001405.40. Lineage (NCBI taxonomy): Eukaryota > Metazoa > Chordata > Mammalia > Primates > Hominidae > Homo > Homo sapiens. The sequence continues at coordinate 85,809,579 of NC_000023.11, forward strand.
ATGGACATTATTCTGGAACTTTAGTGCACTTAATAATTACCTAAGGTGGTGTAGATTCCTAGCCAACAATCCAGATTCTGCTTCAAGAGGTTTAGGGTAGACCCCAGGAAATTACATTATTAAACAAGCATCCTGAAATAATTCTGATACAGTTTGTCCAAAGACTACAATGAAGAAAGCTTAATATAAGAAAGAAGGCTATTTTCTTTAAAAATGGGCAAACATCCCAGCTATACTTTTACACCAAATATCCAGACAATTATGATTGAAGTTATTTATTTTGGGGTTTGTTACATTCATGTGTGGCCTCATATCATCAGTTTGGAAATGTTGCTGGTAGTCTTTTGTGTTAGCTATAGTTTTGTCTGCTCAACGTGCTCCTCTCCCACCCCATTCCCCCTCTGGTAACCGAAAATTATTGTTGGGCTGACTGCTCTCTGTGACCATAGGAGTAGTAAGATGACTTAGACTTTTCAAATAGGAGTGTCCAATCTTCTTGGACAAAATGTTTAGTCCAGGAATGAGCAAGTGACCTAAGTTTCTCAATGAGGGAAGATTCTAGGACTCTTGTTGGACCTTAATAAATTTCTTCCTATCTTTGCAATTTGAGAGATGTAATGTAAGCCTGTACCTGCTACTACTGTGGGAAGAGATTTTTCCAGAGGATGAAGCACACACAGAGGAAATCAGAATAAAGAAGAGAAAGAGAAAGCCATTCCTTGAGGGTCTGGCATCAATTCTGCTTGAAGCTCTGAACCTTCCAACTCCACAAAACAAGATTTCTGTCTTCTTTAAATAGTCTGAGTTTGTTCATCTTTCATGAAACTGAAATTGTCATAACATAACTTACCTTTGACTAACATTTCTATCTGCTTCACTCACACTACCAGACCTATGCTCCTGGACACACACACACACACGCACACATGCACACACACACACATCCCTTTTAGCAGTTCTGGAAATAGCTTCTATTTAAAAACGCATATTGAATATCCCTTTCTTAGCTCTTAATACAAATTTATAAAAAAATATAATTTTAACAAAAATAAGTTATAACAAGTAATGTCCATATATAATTTATGCAAGATTAAAATTCCACATTTTAATCCAAACCCTACTCTTTTGAACGCTCATTATCTCAACTTTAATAACTGAAAAGTTAGGGAACACATTTGTTTCAGCTCCCCAATGTTCTATACTGTTTCTAGTGTTCCAAACTCTCTAACTTTTCTTAAAGCTCTAGTTGTTTTTGTTTCCAGCAGTCATTTCAGAACCTGAGGATATCCTTCTGAATTCTGGCACATCCTCATCTATTCTGAGTGCCTTAGTTCACACTATGATACTCTGCTTACAATACCTTAACTCTGGAAGAGAAGAAACAAAATTGTAATTTCTTTCTTCTTGTATTGCTTCCTTATTAAAAAGGCATGACTCCTCCCTAATCCCAGAACCTGGGAAGGCTTCTCCCATTCATCCATTAAAAAACCCTCTTAGTGGTAACAAACACGCTGATTACAGAACGAGTGTCCCTTCTTCACCAATCCTAGCTCTTTGCAGTTATACATTTACACACCCATGTGCTTCATTTCATTTCTCTTACTCTCCCTCCATTCTTATAGACACAAAGTTTTAGAAATAAGATGATTTGTCTGTGGGATTCGCTATTTTGCATGTTTACAATAATAGAAAAATAAATGTGATTCAATAGCATTCATTCTCATGTGAATTTCAGTTCATCATACTTCAAATTAATGAGAGCCATCTATGACAAACCCACAACAATCATCATACTGAATAGGCAAAAGCTGGAGGAATTCCTCTTGAAAACTAGCAAAAGACAAGATTGCCCTCTCTCACCAGTCCTATTCAACATAGTACTGGAAGCCCTAGCCAGAGAAATCAGGCAAGAGAAAGAAATAAAACACATCCAAATTGGAATACAGGAAGTCAAAATATCTCTGCAGATTATATGATTATATACTTAGAAAACCCCATAATATCTTCCCAAAAGCTCCTTGATCTAATAAACAAGTTTAGCAAAGTTTCAGGATAGAAAGTTAATGTACAGAAATCAGTAGCACGTCTATATAGCAACAATATCCAAGCTGGGAAAGCCAAATCAAGAACACAATTCCATTCACAAAAGACATAAAAAGGATAAAATACCTAGGAATACAGTTAAACAGGAAAATGAAAAATCTCTATAATGAGAATTAGAAAACACTGCTACAAGAAATCAGAGTTGACACAAATGGAAAACCATTCCCTGCTCATTGGTAAAAGAATCAATATTCTTAAAATGGCCATACTGCCAAAAGCAATCTACAGATTCAATGCTACTTGTATCAAACTACTGATAAAAGACTTAAGAAAAAATTACTTAGGCAGATAGATAGTGAGGGCACAAATGTCCTCAGTAATGTTTTCCTTTTAATGTAAAGCAGCCCCAAATCATTTTCTTTTCTAACAAAGAGCAGCCTGTAAAATCGAGCTGTAGCCATAGATGCCAGCAGCTGTGCTAATCATGTTCAAAATGGTGGCCCCAGCTTCCCTTCTCTTTATCAGCCACGTGTACAGTAAGGAGCAGAATAGATAGCAGTGGTCAATGGGAGAGTTCATTTGCATAATAAGAGTAGGGTGGGGCAGCCAGCCTTCCCCATGCACTATGTAAATGTCATAACTGATCAAACCAATCTGTGAGTCCTATGTAAATCAGACACTACCTCCTCAAACCTAACTATAAGATCCAGCACATCCACTGCCCACTGGTCCTTTCTGCTTGGAGACCTCTCTCTATAGAGAGAGCTGCTTCTCTTTCTCTTCTCTTATGCCTATTAAACCTCTGCTCCTAAACTCCTAATGTGTCTCTGTGTCCTAAATTTTCCTGGTGTGAGACAACAAACCCAGGGTATATACCCCAGACAACATATCCACTTCATACTGGGGGCTCGTCCAGGATATCAAGGTACAACATTCATCGTAACAGTGAGTAGAGGAGTAGACTTCAACTCTGTCTTTTCATTTTGAGATTCTTGGCCTCCATTTTAGAACCAAATCAAACCAAATACTAGTCCCCTTTCAGTCATTTAAAAATGATTAGTGTGGCTGCCAGCCTTACAAGATTTGGGGGACAGGCTTAATGGGGAGAACATGGAGAATTCCCCAGCACCCATGGGTTGCTGGGCATCTTGGCCATGTTTGAACCAGCTTCCTTTCATAGAGGAATTAGCTGTCATGTGGAGCTGGAAGAAGTCCTGAGGTAACTGAGGATTTCTGGCTGAGGCTATCCCCAGTGTTATCCAAAGGCTTCTGGACTGACCCCTGCCTCCAACTGCCTGATGGGATTTTGGCAATAGGATCTCCAACTTTCCTATTGTAATTACCTCCTTTCCTGTTTGCAACTGCCATATCTCTTATCCTCTCTGTGTATGCAATGTGCAGGAAGTTTTAGAGTTCAGGGAAGTAATCTTGTTTGGCAAGATCAGGGAATGTCATAGTAACTGGGGATATAGCTCAAGGGAGGGCACCTTTGTGATTTTCTAGGAACAGAGGGTCCCCACCCACCACAGTGAGCATCACTCTCTGCCCTTGGTCTGGAGAGCACATGGCATTTCAAGGTCAACAGACCCACCTAGTGGAATAGAGATCCTCTCCATGAGGCACATTTTTGGTCCTTTCCTGAAACACTCTAGCTTCCCAATTCTCCCTTTTTTTTTGCCCCTTTACCAGAGACCAGGTTTTATGCTGCTTCTGTGAACAGGAAAACTTTACCTTCAACAATTGGGAGTAAAATGTTCTCTGGAACCAAATTTTACTCTTGATACTGTCCCATCAGCAGGAAAATGGCCATTCAGCCCCTACATTTTTAAAGCATCTATTCTGCCTCCAATTTAAATGGTAATTAATAAATAAGGGCATTTAAAGTTCAGAAGTTAACCAGGACCATTCTCTAAGGGCAAATGCTTTAGCATGGGCCATAAAAGCAGGATATAGAGCTGAAACCAGCACACTTCCTCCAGTAAGGAGGGAAATGCAACTGTCACATAGTCTCTCCTGAGATCCATTTTTCAGGGAGTCAGGCAGGTCACACAAGTCTAAGAAGTCAAACAGAGATCACAGACAGATGACCAGAGCCACATGGGTGAGCATGACTAATCTTAATCACTTAGTTCCTTTGGTTCCATGGCTGGAGTTCATGCCTGCAGCCATGGGCAGCACATTTAACAAGGTGCCAGTACCCAGGAACCGTGGAGGGGAAACAGCAGGGAGGATGCCCCTGCTCTCTTCCTCAACACCCTGGGTCACACCAAAAGGAAGGAGACTAAAAGGACTCCTTTTTCTCACATCTCTTTCAAGATGGGTAACAGACCATCTTCAGCTTGCACTCCTGGAGTGCATTCTGAAGCACAGGAGCTCCTTTGACCCTGAGATTTTGAAGAAAAAGTGGCTCATTTTCTTTTGCACAAGGGCAAGGCCTTCTTACTAGACCTTTGTAAGCATTGCACAATCAACCCAGCTCTTTTAGCAGCCATATCAGGCAGACCTATAAAGAATGATTCACCCAAATTAGAGAAACAACTTCCAGGGGCACCATCTGAGGATCCCCCTTATTTGGGGCCCCATTGAGTTCCCTTCTCATTAAAGGACCTTGTTCAAATAAAGGGAGATTTAGGCCAATTTTCTAATGATGCTGATAAGTATATAGAAGCTTTCCAAAATTTAACTCAGGTTTTTGATCTCTCATGAAGGGACGTTAGGATGCTCCTAAGCCAAACCCTAACTGCAGCTGAAAAACCGGCAGCTCTGCAATCAGGAGAGAATTTTGGAGATGAGCAATATCTCTCCTATAGTAGGCCAAAAGGGAAAAGAAAAAATAGGGAAGGCAAAGAAATAGGAGAAACACATTCCCAATAGGAAGAGAGGCAGTCTTGATGACCCTAATTGAAACCCCCAGACTTTTCTATGGTATTTTTCCTTCTTTCATGGTTTAAAATGGCTTTATCTCCTTTCATAATGCTCTTCCAACCTTGGAAAAGTTAAATTTGCAAACCTTAAAATGCTTGGCTTAGAGTTGAGCTATGGGGAAGGGAACCCAGAAGCCTGACATGCTGGCAAAAGGGTAAAAATTTCTTACCAGTTGGCCTTTTTGTTTCTCTCTCCCTGTGAAAACTGGTAAAAGAAATAATAAGGATCATTGTTTATATTCTTAAGTTTTAATTGATGAAAAAGTATTTGCAAGGTTGTTCTTAAGCTGTAGCCAATCTGGTGTACTTTGTGTGTCTTTCTGTATGGTTCTGTCAAAAGAAAGGATACCTTAGGTTAGGATACAGGCGTAGGACTCCATAAACCTGCTGTTCAAGCCAGCCCAACAAAATAGTCAATAACAAACACGTCAACAGGTCTCCATCTTGTTACATGTTCTTGGCAAAATGACCTGTAACCACGTGGCAATACTTTATTTTAGTCTCTGCCATTTTACAATGGTGGCTGTCTTCTTGTGCTAAGTCAGTTCCTTGGGTGAGGACCATAAAATCAGATAAGCCAGTTTATCAATAGGGGAGGGGCCAGCTAATCCATCAAAGGCAGGGTTTACAAAATACCTTAAGCACTGATCTTGAGAGTAGTTAAGGGAGAGTCAAAATCTTGCAGCCTCCACCTACGTTATTCCTAAGCCACGGTTTCTAATCTTGTGGAGAGTTTCTTGGTCTGTTCCCCAGGCAAAAGGGAAGCTGTCTTAGGAAGGCGTTGTTATCACCTTTGTTTTGGACTATAAACTGTAAACCAGGCTCCTCCCAATGTTGGTTTGGCCTATGTCCAGGGATGGGCAAGCTTGGGGGCTGAAAACAAAATGGAATTGGTTGGGTCGAATCTCTTTCACTTTCTCAGTCACAATTTTGCAATAATGGTTTCAAAAGCTGCTTATCACCCCTTTGAAAATACCTCATACATTCGTGGTTAAGTCATAACCTAATTATGGCTTGTTGGTTTCACCGGTTAGGTTACCTTTTGTGAAGCTCAAAAGCCAAAAATCTTAACTCTCAGCATGGCTAAAGTAGAGTAACAAGGGATTTAAAAGGATTTTCTTAAAGAGTGCTCAGCTTAATTAAAAGTGTATATTCAAGTTGTAGGTATATTTAAAAGGCCTTTATGTTTTTCTCTTCTTGGATCTTGCTTTTCTGGAAAAAGTGTTTTTTTTTAAATTTTCAGTCAATTGAATTATTTTTCTCCATTTTTTGTCTTGCCACTCATAATGCACACAAGAGAGGTCCTAAGATAACTTCTGGTAGCCTGGGACTCCTTGGGAAACAAAACCCTATTTTCCTCATGAAACCCCAGGAATTAGAAGCAGATAATTCATTCTCAAATTTAAAGGCTCTGTTCTGTTTTGCATTGTGTTATCTAACAGTTTTGATAACTAGGTAGGAAATATACCTTAAGCGATGGCTAATAGTAGTTATGGAGGAATACTTAACTCTTTGCACATTTAAATCAGAGAAGCATGCTCTTGGTCACCAGAAGATATGGAAACATCCCTACCCCACACTAAGAGATGAGACTCCCACAGGGGATGGGCTGATTACAAAATAAGCCAAACTGGCTTTGGGTTGCCTTCCAATGAAATGCATGGTAGAAGCACTGCACTGTCTTCTCTCATGGTATCTCCCTCCTTTTGGGGATCCAAGATCCAGTATAGAATAGCACCCTTAATTTTGGGGATCTGTCTTTTGCTTTCAGCTATGCCTGCTTATTAGGCCCTAAAAATGTATGATATTCTGGCCCTGTTCCTCCAAGGGCTACACCCTGAAGCCAGTAATCCAATTAAGAAACTGGCAAATGAAACATCTTACAAGTGCTGAATCTTCTATTTGTGTTGCTATATATGCGTTGTGTGTAATGTCTATAAAAAGAGCTCTAATTGATTGGCTTAAAGAAAAACTAAGTGCTTAAATCAAATATATTTTAGTTCCCATTACTTTAATCTTTAAGAAATAAAAATAGTCTTAAGCATTATTTGTAAAATTCAAGTGTTGTCAAACTGCAAATAGGTGGTCTAAATCATACAACTTAGATACTAGGTTTGCTAAATGTTCCAAGGTTGTATACTGCCTATTTTACAAATAGGTAAGGCCTGGGACATGTGGGGTTAGACGTTGGAAAGAGTCAGACCTTACCTGCACTTCTGTTTGGGTTCTAGACTCCACACCTGGTACATAATTGAAATAGCTTACTAACCAGGTTTTTAATCAAAAGTAAAAGTGGCTAAGAGTTAATAGTGCAACATGTATTTGAGACCACTAAACAGGTTTACATGCAAGGCATATGAAAACAGGAAAATGTGGTTTTTTTAGTAAAAGATTATAAGAAAGCATGGAAATGTAAATTTTTCCAAGGGATGAGGGATTATCTTAGATTTAATAAGATAAAGCTAGAGGCTTAAGCAAGTTACAGAAATATTATAAAAATTAATCTCACAAAATCCCGTTTTTAAACATTAAACTCAAACGGGTATTATATGGTCTTTTCATAAATTGAGTATTGAAATAAAAACACAGCAAGGTTGTCTTAAGATGCTAATCTGCCCTTTAGCAAAAGGGGTTATAATAGGTTTGTAAACATTTCACCTCATGGTCAAATTGGTTAAGATTAGATGGAATTTTCTATGAGGTTTCATTAAAAGTTGGGGTTAACATTAATAAACTAAGGCAAGGATAAAATGTGGCTTTAAGCAGGATTTTTACATAATAGTAAAGCCTAATAAAAGGTTTTTTTTCTCTCAAGTCATCATTTTGGCAAAATAAATAATTTATGGAAATCTGGAATTCTATTTCATAACATCAAGTGTTTTAAACCTCTAACATTTAACAGGCTCCCAAAAATCAAACTTCAAAATTGTCTTTCCTCATGTCTGGCTTTCTAGATTGTTCAGAGGGCCCCTGAAACATCCAGAAAAGAGGTGAACAGGATTATTTGACATGTTATTTACATGGGATTGTCAAAATGATGTCCAAACTTAAGTTATATTTTAGTGAACAATACTAATATATGTTCCAAAATTGTATGGGACTTCTAAAATTCTAATGTCTAAGTATACACTATCAATCATAATTAAGGGTAAAGTTATTGTAAACTCAGAGATAATTAAACTTCTTTGTCTGTCATATTTTTAACTGTAACTATACTGTGAATTTTGTCATTCACATATGATTGTTGTCTCTCTTTGTTCCTTCTCAAAAGATGGTTTATAATCAAGCTGTAAGACTTTAAAGGTGTTCTCAAATGCAGGTTTCTAATAGCTTTGAAGATTGTAACATTGGAATAGAGAAAACATACACGACTCATGAAGAGCTGAAATGTTCACGAATGTAGAGCAAAACAAGAGTTAACTGAATAGACTGCACTCAGAAAGTTAAAGCAACCTCTTTTGACTTTTCATTGGAATATTGCTGATCCTTATTTTGTTTTTCAGAGTCAAGGAAACTTATTTTGAACTATTTAAAGCCTTCAATAATTAAGTAAACTATGCTTATGTGAACAAAATTTGGAGTATGTTTGTTTCGCTCTGCCTAGTTCCTCTAGAATTTGGAAACTATCTGTGAGTATTCTTAACTTATGGCAATATAATTTTTGCATCAGTGCAATAAGAATATATTTTTCTTTTGCAACAGGACACAGTTGGAAAGAGAAACTGGATATTTTACCAAGGCTTTGACTGGAAGTGTGTGTTTCCCTTTAAGGAATCAATCTTGACATGTAGAACCAATAAAATCCCCTTGGGGAAGACTGGCACCATACCTTGTCTACACAGTCCCTGTACAGAGTTTCTGACCTGTGGTCAGTAAAGAATGTCACTTTCTAACAGGTCCAGGAGCTCCAAGTTTATCTTGAGATCTTAAGAGAAAAGGCTCATGCAACTCACAGGTATTTGAGGATACAAACCCATGGCTGAGCTCCACTTTAAAAGGTTTTATCTGAGATTCCTTGTGGAACAGAGTTCCATCAAAGCTAACCCAAAAAACCCATTTAGAGATAATTATTTCTGCTGCACATTATGCAAATAACCAGACCAAGTACAAGACTGAAGTTTATTCTATGAACAACACGGTCCTATCATAATTGTTCTTTTACCAAAAATGAGGACTTGAGAGAGAAATTATGCTCCAAAGATTATCATACATTTGTCATTAAATCCTAGTCTCATTAATTGTTTTTAAGCTTTTTGCCTACATTTTAGACTAACTTTCTTATTCCTGTGAATTAAGTGGTGATCTCCTGCAGCTTGGGAGAAACAAAAAAGGGATGGGTAATGCAAATATCTGGATCAATATGCTAATTCTGAGCAATTATCTTGCAAGTTCTGCCAGGTAATGATGTCACACTCGTGGGAATGGCTATACTCACTCTATTTGCAGTGAGACCATATACTGTTGCATCTTCTAACTGGAATATCAAACAGAGAGTTTCCATTGCTGTAGTATTTTGCTTAATTATCATCTTAATAGCAGGGATAATAGTTACCAACATAAAGGAAGCGTGAAAGTTTTTCTATCACTTAGCCTGCTAGGACTTTTTATTGGGTTTGGTAATATGTCACACCCTGGCTATGCAAAGAAGGTTATAAAGGAAACAGAGTTTATATAAGAAAGAATCTTGTATGGCAGATACTTGCCCCAAACAGAATAGTTGGTTGTTTAAAAAGAAGGTTGTTTAGGACAAGTCGGAAAGTTTAAGCATGTTTGCAATGGTCTATGGAAGTCATGAAGGGATTAATAATTGTAGGAAAGATTTAGCCAAGGTTAATGCTAAAGTTACTTTAGCCACACAAATCCAATGCCACTTGTCCTGAAAGAAATGCTACTTTTATATTAATGTTTCAGCAACATCTGGTGGAGGCACACTAGTGTTACAACTCATTGGAATGGCTGACAGCAATCAAACTCCAAATGGTGCTGCAGACAGAACCACAAATGACCATGCCTTTCTCCTTAGGACCCTTAGATTGACCACAGGAGGAGCCATAGCTGCTGTTCCCCGCATAATGTCTCTTTTCAGCAGGAAGTAGGCAGAAAGAGTTGTCATACAATACCTCTCACAGCAGTAAGGGTTAGCACTCCACAGGGGGCAATGATACAGGAGTTAAGAAGAAATTACTTAGGCAGATACTGAGGGTACGAATGTCCTCATAAGGTTTTCCTCTTAATGAAAAGCAGCCCCAAATCATTCTCCTTTCTAACAAAGAGCGGCCTATAAAATTGAGCTGCAGACATAGATGCTGGCAGCTGTGGTAATCATGTTCAAAATGGTGGTTCCATCTTCCCTTCTCTTTATCAGTCATGTGTACAGTAAGGAGCAGATAAGGTGGTGCCAGTCAATGGGACAGTTCATTTGCATAATAGTATTAGGCTGGAGCAGCCAGCCTTCCCCACATGCTATGTAAATGTCATACCTGATCAAATCAATCTGTGAATCCTATATAAATCAGACACCACCTCCTCAAACCTGACTATAAAATCCAGTGCATCCACTGTCTGCCGGTCCTTTCCACTTGGAGACCCCCTCTCTCTAGAAAGAGCTGTTTATCATTCTCTTCTCTTCTGCTTATTAAACCTCTGCTCCTAAACTCCTCGTGCATTTCTGTGTCTTAAGTTTTCCTGGCACGAGACAACGAACTCCATGGTATACACCCTAGAAAATGTAACCACTTTACTACCAATGACATTATTCACAGAATTAGAAAAAAACTATGTTAAAATTCATATAGAATCAAAAGACAGTCAGAATAGCCAAGGGAATAATCCTAGGTAAAAAGAACAAATCTGAAGGCATTGCATTACTCAACTTCAAACTATACTACAAGGCTTCAGTAACCGAAACAACATAGTATGGTACTGGTACAAAAACAGGCACATAGACCAATGGAATAGAATAGAGAGGCCAGAAATAATTCCATACACCTACAGTCATCTTTCCTTTGACAAAATTAACAAAAGCAAGCAATGCTTAAAAGATTCTGTATTCAATCAACGGTGTTGGGATAACCGGTGTTAGCCATATGCAGAAAAGTGAAACTGGACCCCTTCCTTATACTATATACAAAAATCAACTCAAAATGAATTAAAGACTTAAATGTAAAACCTAAATCTATAAAACCCTTGGAAGATAACCTAGGAAACACTATTCTGGACATAGGAGCTCTCAAAGATTTCATGATGAAAACCCCAAAGAAAGCAATCACAACAGAAACAAAAATTGACAAGTGAAAGCTAATTACATTAAAAAGCTTCTTCACAGCAAAAGAAACTATCAGCAGAGTAAACAGACAACTTACAGAAAGGGAGAATATATTTGCAAACTATACATCTGACAAAGATCTAATATCAATAATCTATAAGGAACTTTAATATACAAGACAATAGAGTCCTGAAGATCATGACAGACAGGAGGCAGGACTAGATTACAGCTCCTACTCAGATGGAAAGAGCAGCTTATGGAGTCTCACATCATGAACTGTTGCTTCAGGACTACTGCAGGAATAATTCAGGAAAGCCAAGAGAACCCACAGACTCTCTGAAGAAAGTGGATTGCTCCTGCAGGACCTGAGAGATAACCCAAATACTGTGAGTGCCCAAACTATGGAAATAAGAAAGGGGGATTATCTGCCCCTGAACATACACCCTCGCTGGGAAACCTGAAGGTCTAGATCACAGGAGAAGATTCTGACCTTACCTGGAGCTAAGTCAACTTAGATAGCCAAGTGAAATACAAGGGGTAGAGAAACCAGCAGGAAAAGCCCTGTGGGATCTCTGGGTTCCCAGGGAAGCCATTTCTGACTTGTCTCACAGAGTTACCTAGAGAGGGCTGCCAGTGGAACTGGGAAAAGGCTACAAGGAGAAGGAAACCTCCAGCTGAACTTTGTAACAATTCCAACCATACGAGAAGTCTCCTGGCCAGAACTTGGGGGAAGGCATGAATCCGGTGTGCAGTCTCCACTGGCAGGGAAGCACAAAGCCCTACTTTCTTTTGCAGCTGGGAGGCAGGTAGCCTGGGACAAGTTCTCAGCCCTGCTTGCCCACTGCCTGGAAACAGACTCGGTGCTGCTGGGGGGAAGCATGGTGAGACCAGCCTTTGGGTTCTTGTGGGAGCTGGGTGAGACCTGTGACTGTCAGTTTCCCCCCATTTCTCTGACAAGCTGAATGACACAGCAGAGGCAGCCATAATCCTCCTAGAAATATAACTCCATTGACCTCAGAACCACACCCCCATCCCCCACAGCAGCCACACCAAGTCCTGCCCAAGGAGAGTCTGAGCTCAGACATGCCTATCCCTGCCCCAACCTGATGGTCCTTCCCTACCCACTCTGGTAGATGAAGACAAAAGGCATATACTCTTGGGAGTTTTAGGGCCCTGTCCACCATCTAATCCTCCCCATAGTACCACAGCTGATGGTCTCCTGAAAGTGCCACCTCCCAGCAGGAGGCCAAGAAGCACAAAAATAGTGCATTAAGCAACCAAAAACTAAGGACCCTCACAGAGTCAATTTCACCTCCCTGCCACCTCCACTGTAGCAGGTGCTGGTATCTACAGCTGGGAGACCCATAGACAGTTCACATCACAGGACTCTGTGCAGACAACCACCCGTACCAGCCGAGGGCCTGGTAGACCTGCTGGGTGGCTAGATCCTGAATAGAGATAACAATTACTACAGCTCATCTCTCATGAAACCATATCCCTAGGAAAAGGAGAAGAGTACTATATCAAGGGAACACCCCATCGGACAAAAGAATCTGAACAACAGCCTTGAGCCTTATAGTTTTCCTCTGACAGAGTTTCCCCAAATGAGAAGGAACCAGAAAACCAACTCTGGTAATATGACAAAACGATGTTATTTAACACCCCCAAAATGTCACACTAGCTCACAAGCAATGGATCCAAACCAAGAAGAAATCCCTGATTTACCTGAAAGAGAATTCAGAATGTCAGTTATGAAGATAATCAAGGAGGCACCAGAGAAAAGTGAAGCCCAATTTAAGGAAATAAAAAATAATAATACAAGAAATGAGGGGGGAAATCTTAAGTGAAATAAATAGCATAAATTTAAAAAACAATAAAAACTTCAGGAAACAAAGGACATACTTATAGAAATGCAAAATGCTCTGAAAAGCCTCAGTAATAGAATTGAACAAACAGAATAAAGAAATTCAGAGCTTGAAGACAAGGTGTTTGAATTAATCCAATCCAACAAAGACAAATAAAAAAGAATAAGAAAATATGAACAAAGCCTCCAAAAAGGCTGGGATTATATTAAACCACCACACCTAAGAATAATTGGTGTTCCTGAGGAAGAAGAGAAATCTAAAAGTTTGGAAAACATATTTGGGGAAATAATCGAGGAAAACTTCCCTGGCATTGCTAGAGACCTACACATCCAAATACAAGAAGCTCAAAGAACACCTGGGAAATTCATCACAAAAAGATCATCACATAGGCACATTGTTATCAGGTTATCTAAAGTTAAGATAAAGGAAAGAATCTTAAGAGATGTGAGACAAAAGCACCAGGTAACCTATAAGAAAAACCTATCAGATTAGCAGCAGATTTCTCAGCAGAAACATTAAAATCTAGAAGGGATTGGGGCCCTATCTTCAGCCTCCTTAAAAAAAAATTATCAGCCAAGAATTTTGTATCCAGTGAAACTATGTTTTATAAATGAAGGAAAGATACAGTCTTTATCAGACAAACAAATACAGAGAGAATTTGCCACTACCAAGCAAGCACTAAAAGACCTGCTAAAAGGAGCTCTAAATCTTGAAACAAATCTTGGAAACACATTAAAATGGAACCTCTTTCAAGCATAAATCTCACAGGACTTATAAAACAAAAATACAAATTAAAAAACCACACACACAAAAAAACAAGGTATACAGGCAACAAATAGCAGGATGAATGAAATAGTACCTCACATCTCAATACTAACATTGAATGTAAATGTCCTAAATGCTTCACTTAAAACATACAGAATTGCAGAATGAATAAGAATTCATGAACCAACTATCTGCTTCCTTCAAGAGACTCAGCTAACACATAAAGACTCACACAAACTTAAGGTAAAGGGGTGGAAAAAGACATTGCATGCAAATGGACACCAAAATTGAGGAGGAGTAGCTATTCTTATATCAGGTGAAACAAACTTTAAAGCAACAGCAATTAAAAAAAAACAAAGAGGGACATTACATAATGATAAAAGACCTCATCCAACAGCAAAATATCACAATCCTAAATGTATATGCACCTAACACTGGAGCTGTCAAATTTATTAAAAAAATTACTACTAGACCTAAGAAATGAGATAGACAGAAACACAATAATACTGGGGAACTTCGATACCCCACTGACAACACTAGACAGGTAATCAAGACAGAAAGTCAGCAAAGAATCAATGGACTTAAACTATACCCTAGAACAAATGAACATAACAGATATTTACAGAACATTGTACCCAACAACTGCAGAATATACATTCTATCCATCAGTGCATAAAACATTCTCCAAGATAGACCATAAGATAGGCCACAAAACAAGCCTCAATAAATTTAAGAAAATTGAAATTATATCAGGCACTCTCTCAGACCACAGTGGAATAAAACTGGAAATCAACTCCAAAAGGAACCTTCAAAACCACACAAGTACATGGAAAATAAATAACCTGCTCCTGAATGATTATTGGGTCAACAATGAAATGAAGATGAAAATTAAAAAAATTATTTGAACTGAATGGCAATAGTGACACAACCTATCAAAACCTCTGGAATATAGCAAAAGCAGTGCTAACAGGAAAGTTCATAGCCCTAAATGACTACATCAAACAGTCTGAAAGAGCACAAACTATATAAGGTCACACCTCAAGGAACTAGAGAAACAAGAACAAACCAAACCCAACCCTGGCAGAAGAAAGGAAATAACCAAGATCAGAGCAGAACTAAATGAAATTGAAACAAACAAAAAACAACAATGCAAAAAATAAATGAAACAAAAAGCTGGTTCTTGGAAAGGATAAATAAAGTTGATAGAACATTATTAGCAAGATTAACCAAGAAAAGAAGAGAGAAAATCCAAATAACCTCATTAAGAAATGAAACAGGAAATAATACAACTGACACCACTGAGCTACAAAAGAACATTCAAGGCTACTATGAACACCTTTATGCACATAAACTGGAAAACCTAGAGGAGCTGAATAAATTCGTGGAAAGATTTACAACCTTCCCAGCTTAAATCAGAAAGAATTAGATACCCTGAACAGACCAATAATAAGCAGCAAGATTGAAATAGTAATAAAAAAATTACCAAAAAAAAAAAATTCTAGGACCAGCTGGATTCACAGCTGAATTCTACCAGACATTCAAAGAAAATTGGTTCCAATCCTACTGACACTATTCCACAAGATAGAGAAAGAGAGAATCCTCCCTAAATTATTCTATGAAGCCAGTGTTACCTTAATACCAAAACCAAGAAAAGACATAGTCAAAAAGGAGAACTACAGACCAATATCCCTGATGAACATAGATGTAAAAATCCTTAACAAAATACTAGCCAATTGAATCCAACAACATATCAAAAAGATAATCCACCATGATCAAGTGGGTTTCATATCAGGGATGCAGGGATGGTTTAACATACGCAAGTCAATAAATGTGATACACCACATAAACAGAATTTAAAACAAAAATCACATGATCATCTCAATAGATGCAGAAAAAACATTCAGCAGAATCCAACATCCCTTTATGATTAAAACTCTCAGCAAAATCAGAATACAAGGGACATAACTCAATGTAATAAAATCATCTATGACAAACCCACAGCCAACATAATATTGAATGGGGAAGAGTTGAAGCATTCCCTCTGAGAACTGCAACAACACAAAGATGCCCACTCTCACCACTTCTCTTTAACATAGTACCAGAAATCCTAGCCAGAGCAATCAGACAAGAGAAAGAAATAAAGGGCATCCAAATTGGTAAAGAAGAAGTCAAACTTTTGCTGTTTGCTGATGATATGATTGTATACCTAGAAAACCCTAAAGACTCTTCCAAAAAGCTCCTAGAACTGATAAAATAATTTGGCGAAGTTTCCAGATACAAAATTAATGTACACAAATCAGTAGCTCTGCTATACACCAACAGTGACCAAGCGGAGAATCAAATTGAGAACTCAACCTCTTTTACAATAGCTGCAAAAAAAAAACAAAACAAAACAAAACAAAACAAAACTTAGAAATATACTTAGCCAAGGAGATGAAAGACCTCTACAAGGAAAACTACAAAACACTGCTAAAAGAAATCACCAATGACACAAACAAATGGAAACACATTCCGTGCTCATGGATCAGTAGAATCAATATTGTGAAAATGATCATACTGCCAAAAGCAATCTACAAATTCA
The DNA here is from genome assembly GCF_000001405.40 of Homo sapiens. NCBI lineage: Eukaryota > Metazoa > Chordata > Mammalia > Primates > Hominidae > Homo > Homo sapiens. The sequence continues at coordinate 85,826,022 of NC_000023.11, forward strand.
ATGCAATTGTCATCAAAATATCACCATCATTCTTCACAGAACTAGAAAAACCAATCCTAAAAATCATATGGAACCAAATAAGAGCCCACATAGCCAAAGCAAGACTAAGTAAAAAGAACAAATCTGGAGGTATCACATCACCTGATTTCAAACTATACTATAAGGCCATAGTCACAAAAACAGCATGGTACTGATATAAAAATAGGCACATAGACCAATGGAACAGAATAAAGAACCTAGACATAAACCCATATACTTACAGCCAACTGATTTTTGACAAAGCAAACAAAAACATAAAGTGGGGAAAAGACACTCTATTCAACAAATGGTGCTGGGAAAAATTGGCTAGCCACATTTAGGAGAAAAAAACTGGATCCTCATCTCTCACCTTATACAAAAATCAACTCAAGATGGATCAAGGACTTAAATCTAAGACCAGGACCTATAAAAACCCTAGAAGATAACATCAGAAAAACCCTCTAGACATTGGCTTAGGCAAGGATTTCATGACCAAGAACCCAAAAGCAAATGCAATAAAAACAAAGATAAATAGCTGGGACTTGATTAAACTAAAAAGCTTTCGCGTGGCAAAAGCAACAGTCAGCAGAGTAAACAGACAGCCCACAGAGTGAGGGAAAATCTTCACAATCTATACATCTGACAAAAAAACTAATATCCACAACCTACAACTAACTCAAATAAATTAGCAAGAAAAAAAACAAACAATCCTATCAAACAGTGGGCTAAGGATATGAATAGACAATTCTCAAAAGAAAATACACAAATGGCCAACAAGCATATGAAAAAATGCTCAACATCACTAATGACCAGGGAAATGCAAATCAAAACCACCATGCAATACCACCTTACTCCTATAAGAATGGCCATAGTCAAAAAAATCAAAAAATAATAGATGTGGGCATGGACACAGTGATTAGGGAACACTTCTACACTGTTGGTGGGAGTGTAAACTAGTACAGCCACTATGGAAAACAGTGTGGAGATTCTTTAAAGAACTAAAAGTAGAACTACCATTTGATCCAGCAATCCTACTACCGGGTATCTACCCAGAGAAAAATAAGTCATTACACAAAAAAGATACTTGCACACGTGTCCATAGCAGCACAATTCACAATTGCAAAAATGTGGAACCAATACAAATGCCCATCAATTAACGAGTGTATACAGAAACTGCGATATATATGATGGAATACCGCTCAGCCATAAAAAGGAATAAATTAATGGCATTCACAGCAACCTGGGTGAGATTGGAGACTAGTATTCTAAGTGAAGTAACTCAGGAATGGAAAACCAAACATCGCATGTTCTAACTCATAAGTGAGAGCTAAGCTATGAGGATGCAAAGGTATAACAATGACACAGTGGACTTCGGGGACTCAGGGGGAAAGGATGGGAAGGGGTTAAGGAATAGAAGACTATAAATTGAGTCCAGCGTATATACTGCTCGGGTGACGGGTGCACAAAAATCTCACAAATCACCACTAAAGAACTTACTCATGTAACCAAACACCATCTGTTCCCCAATAACCAATGAAAATATAAAAAATTAAAAAAGACAACCCCATTAAAAATGCACAAAGGACATGGACAGACACTTTTCAAAAGAAGACATACATTGGACAACAAGTATATCAAAAACAATATCACTGATCATTAGAGAAATGCAAATCAAAACCACAATGTAATACCATTTCACATCCATCAGAATGTCTATTATTTAAAAGTCAAAAAATAACAGGGGCTGGCGAGGCTGTGGAGAAAAAGGAAGACTTTTATACACTGCTGGTGGGAGTATAAGTTAGTTCAGCAGTTGTGGAAAACAGCGTGGCAATTCCTCAAATACCTAATAACAAAACTACCATTTAACCCAGCAATCCCATTACTGGGTATATAATCAAAGGAACATAAATCACTCTGTCGTAAAGACATATGCACACATACTTTCTTTACAGCACTAATCACAATACCGAAGACATGGAATCAACCTAAATGCCCATCAGTGGTAGACTGGATAAAGAAAATGCAGTACATATATATCCTGGAATATTATGCAGCCATAGAAAGGACGAAATCATGCCCTTGGCAACAACATGGATGCAGGAGAAGGCCATTATTCTAAGCAAACTAACACAGGAACAGAAAATCAAATACTACATGTTTTCACTTAAAGCCTAAACACTGAGTACACATAGACACAAAGAATGGAACAACAGTCACTGGGGCCTACTTGAGGGTGAAGTGCGAAAGAAGGGTGAGGATCAAATATCTACCTATCAGGTACTGTGCTTATTACCAGGGTGGTGACATAATCTGTAAACCAAACCCCCGTGACATGCAATTTGCCTATATAACAAACCTGCACATGTATTTCTGAACCTAAAAGTTAGAAGGAAAAAAATTATAAAACATAAAAAGAATGCCAATTCATTTGAAATATGCATAAAATGAATATTTTTTGAAAAACTTAAAATATGTATTTTAGAGTTGGAAAAATGTTAGTTTGTAAATATGACCTTTTTCAGCACCTGGTCATAAAAGAAAAGTTCACAGCCTTATCAAGCAAGAATATAATGACATTAACATTTACTCTGCTAGCAAATCATGTGCAGAAGTAAAATATATTTTAATAAAATGTCATTTTGTGTTATACTTTGATTGCTTCTGTTTTGATTAAACTCCAAACAAAGCAATGTTTTGTGGGTCAATAAAAGTGACTCAAAAAAATAAATATTAGTGATGGAAGTCGTACTTGTTCTGGGAAACATCTGCTGTTCCATCACGTATTATTACAATATATTTGATTTTCCACACAGAAAATTGTTTGCACCTGTCGTTAGCATTTTTTTCCAGCACATATTCTTGGCTTATCATTAACACTCCCTATTTTCTCTGCTAAACAACACTTCACACTGTGCTGCTATACATGTCAGAAGAAGATTATTTAGCCATTTATCACTGTTCTGGCAGCGCTTATGAACCTGCACGCAGGTATTGCAGTCAAAAGGCATTAGAATGGACTGTTTGCACTTAGTGTTGTCAATCAGGCTATATAATTAAATCAGGCAGAATAAATAATTTAAGTTGCATACTGAGACAATACACTTTCAAGGATACACTGACAGCAATGGCTACATTTTATTGTCACATTATATCTGATTAAAATTTAGAGCCATTTGAAAAACATGATCTTTATACAATTGTTTTGACACCACCAATTAAGCTTGAGCAGTGCCACTTAGCTCAAGTTTTATTTTTTGCTCACTGCCTAGTGTCTTTTAAGAATTGAACAGGGCCATATCTCTTGCATTAGGTGAGGAAGAATATAATCTGTCTTTCACATCTTGGATATAATCCAGTCTCCTTAGCAAACAACTTGGGCCTGATTGATCCAGCTTTCCTGTCAGGGCCCAGTTTTCCTGGGCAAGGTGGCCTGCTTAAGATGAGATTCATTTAATTTTGTTGAAATATTAGACCAGGCATTCATTTATCTGATGGTGTAGTAAACTCTGCACTTCTCTCTGCTAGTGAAAACTATGCCTATAAAACTATTTCTCAGCAGACTACATTATTAGACCGGAAGATTCTAAATATGAAATATGTTACTTTCTCTTAATGGAGGTCAAATAAGAAAACTCTGCCATGGTGAGGTTATAGACGGCCTATCACGGCATTTCTACTCTAAAGTTGTTGGGTAAAAAATTCTACAGAAATTGAGCTACTACAATTGTCCAGTATGTTGTACTTTAAATAAGTGAGAGATTTGCATCAGAATCAAACATTTGGATACTGCTCTCTCTTTTTTAGTTTAACCCCCTAAACTACCATCAAATGAAAGAGACAATGCAAAGTTAGTAGGGGAAAGGGGTCAGGGAATGTCGCTACTATGCATTCAGATTTATTTATTGCTTTTACAAGATCCAAATAACCAAAACCCTACGTGTTTTAATTGCCCTAGCTTTGGAATCAGATTGCTTGGGTTTACACCTTGGCTTTGCCACTGAATATGTGATATTGGGCAATTCATTTAACCTCTCTGTGACTCAGTTTCCTCATCTATAAAAATGAGGATTAATAGTGTCTGCATTCCTGGCTGAACTAATGTACATAAAGCATCTAAAACAATGCCTGTTCCAGAGTATGTGCTATGTGGGTGTTGGCTATTAGCTAATTATTAATTAGTCTTAGTAAATGATAAAATCTAATTAATAAAAGTTAAGCCTGTTTTTTAAACACACACACACTTGCCATTCTAAGAAGTTTCTTTTGCTTGTTGTGCTTTTCCTATTGATCTCATTTATTCAATTGTTCGATATTTCTCCTGACCCCTTTCCTGCTCTCAGATTGAGATGGTCCAGAAAACAAAACTCCCATTTTAACAGGTATCTTGTATCTACCTCTGAGCATGTTAAAGCAGAATGAGAGCAGCATTTGTAACATCCTGCCCTTGACCCATTAACTTGGGTCCATGCTGAAAGCTCCAAGTGCAATTTGGAAGCACTTTTGATGTTCAATTTTAAGCAGCTGTCTTCTTCTTAAAGCCTTTCAGTCTTAACAATACAGCAGAAACAGAAAGCAGAATAAGTAGAAATTTCCTAGCTGACAAAATGTATGAGTTAGAATCGTGTAATTTTCCAAATTGTAAATGCATGTAATATTTTTTTTGCCACCACACCAATCCTGAAACGATTCCTTATCTGAAAAAAGAATATTTTTATTAGTCCTATAATTCTAAGATTTCTTAATCAAAAACCGTTATGCTAGATGTTTCAAATCCAGGCCCCGTATAGCATAAATAAACTTCATTTCTATTCAAACCATTTTAATTTAACAAAATAATTTTTATTTTATTATAATTACTTAATTTTGAACTGAATTCTGAATGCACAATTTAATTACTACCAAATGTGTTTTGTGCTTTAGAGAAAATAATAGAGAATTTTGACCTGCTTTAGGATAATAAAGAAGTCAAAACTGAGAACCTCTCAAGGCTTTTCTCATAGTAGCAGTTTATTTTCCTTAAGTGGCATCTCTATTCTATCACAAAGTCATTTATTGACATATGAATTTGGGTTTGTTCTCATAGCTTGTAGACATTTTCTCTTTCTCATTCCAAGAAAGGAGACAAACTTCTGTATTCTGAGTTCTGAGCAACATTTTTCAGAGAATGGTAGTTTTTAGCTGATTTTGTGTTGCCATGGAAGGAAAATTGTAGAATGCAAGATATTGAAAAAACCTGAAACTGAAGCTTTGCTGAGAAGAGCAGATATATTATTGTAAAACATGCATAACCAAAGACTCAAAAGAACAAAACTCTGAAACTCTGAGATGACCGAGACACAGTTTCTGCTCTCAAATAGCTCACCAGTCTATTAGAGTAACCTGTAAAACTAGTCAGTGCCAATGTTAAGCAATGTAATGAAGGTATGGAGAATGTACCCTAATTTGGCACTTAACCTGGACTGGGGGTAACAAGGAAGGCTTTTGGGAGAGGTGATGGTTGAGAGGTTTTGTTTTTGTTGTTGTTGTTGTTGTTGTTTTGGTTTTGTTTGTTTGCTTGTTCATTTTTGAGACAAGGTTTACTCTGTTGCCCAGGCTGGAGTGCAGTGGTGCAATCATAGCTCACTATAACCTCAAACTCCTGGGCTATAGCAATCTCCCCACCTCAGCCTCCTGAGTAGCTAGGACTACAGGCACATTCCATCATGCTCAGCTAATTTTTTAATTTTAATTTTTTGTAGAGATAGGGCCTCACTGTGTTGCTCAGGCTGAACTCAAACTACTGGCCTCACACAATCCTCCTGCCTTAGCCTCTCAAAGCATTAGGATTACAGGCATGAGTCACCGTGCCTGGCTAACTTGTGAGTGTCTATGTAAGAGATATCCAGGCAGAGAAGGGCATTCAAGAAAGTAAGAATAGCATGTGCAAACACACAGAGGCAAGACAGAGCATGGCATCTTCAATGAACTGCAAATAATTCTAAATAACTGGAGCATAGGCTGCAGTGGGGTAGGGTACCTAGGGTACGGTAGTGGGGTACCCTAGGTGGAGTAGTGATTGAAAAGACATTAAAATATTTTTAGTAGAGAAATGATGTGATTATATTTACATATCTTTTTAAGAAAGATTGTTCTGATTGTACTGTGTTAAAAGGATTATAGGGAACCAAAAGTGGAGGCAAGCAAAGCAGACCAGTTAGCAAGCTATTCTAGGGGTCAAGCTGAGTGATGATAATGTCTTGGACCAGAGAGTTGGGATGGAAATAGGGAGACATATTCAAGAAAAATTTCAGAAGTAGAAATCACAAGGATTTGTTACCAAAAATTGATACAGGGTAGGGAAAGATACAAAGAATGACAGGATGATTCCTAGGATTCTGGTTCTGGTCAATAGGTTGGCTTCAGGTGGGTGTCATTTATTAAAAAATAAGGAGTAACTGAAGGAAGAGAAAATCTGAGAGTAGGAAGCTGTGAGATGTTGCTTTCTATTTTGGATGAGTTAAGTGTGAGTGTTCCCCAGGGACATTTAAGTGGAGATGTTCCATAGACAGTAAAATATGAGTCCTGAGCAAAGAGAGGATACCTGAAGCCATGGGAGAAGATGCAATTACCCCGGGAGAGTGTGTAGATTGAGAAGAGGGCATAGGGAAGAAGAACAGAGATGAAGAGATCTAACATTATGTATAATTGTCACCCTTCTAATTCCTTGTTTGTAGAGTGGGCTGATTTCTGGATTTGTAGGTTAGCCATGGCACTTAAAATTATCTTGGGAAAATATGACTTTTGAAACACTGGTTCTGGTGTAGGCCTGTTACTTACCCAATGAATAATCATATAGGGATTTCAAAAAACTTTCACACATGGTGTCCTATTGTATATTAATACACAATAGTTCCAAGAGACTTAAACACATAACCCTTCACATTAAAATACACATAAAATCTAAATTAAAAGCATTAACTCATTATAGGAAAGATTAAAATGTATGTTTTTACAATGATAAAATTAATAAGACTTATTTTTGATATATGTTAAATGTAAAAAGTATTAGCAAAATGTATCTGTCAATGGATGAGTGGATAAAGATAATGTGGTATATATGTACAATGGAATACTATTTGGCCTTAAAACAGAGGAAATTTTGTCATTTTCAACAACATGTATGAACCTGGAGGACATTATGCTAAGTGAAATGAGCCAGGCACAGAAAGACATATATTGCATGATTCCACTTATATGTGGAATCTAAAGAAGTCAAACTCATAGAAGTAAAAGAGTAGAATGGTGGTTGCCAGGGCCTCAGGAGGTGGGTGAGAGGGGAATGGAGACATGTTGGTGAGAGGGTACAAAGTTTCAGTTAGATAGGAGGACTAAGTTCTTGAGATCTAATGCACAGAATGGCGACAACCGTTATTAATAACATAATGAATATTTCAAAATTGCTAAGAGAATAGATTTTAAATGCTGGCACCATGATATGGTTTGACTGTGTCCCCACAGAGATAATTGAATCATGGGGGCGGTTTCCCTCATCCTGTTCTCCTGATAATGACTTAGTTCTCACGAGATCCGATGGTTTTATAAGGGGATTCCCTGTTCACTGGGCACTCATTTCATTCTCCTTCCTGCAGCCCTGTGAAGAAGGACGTGTTTGCTTCCCCTTTCACCACAACTGTGAGTTTCCTGAGGCCTCCCCAGCCATGCTAAACTGTGAGTCAATTAAACCTCTTTCCTTTATAATTACCCGGTCTTGCATAGTATCTTTGCAGCAACATGAGAATGGACTAATACACACCACAAAAAAAAAAGTTAAGATGAGGTGACAAATATAGGAATCAGCTTGATTTCAACATTGCATAATGTGTGCATATATCAAAACATCACATTGTACTCCGTAAATATATATAATTATTTTTCAATTAAAAATTTTCTAATTAACAAAATAAAAATCACTTCAAATCCTACCTTGAGTTTACTACTTTAATATGTTTCCTATAAGCCTCATTTCCATCAAGTATTTTTTCTTTGCTCATGTGTATGTGAACAAAATCAGGAGATATATACTAATAATTTTTTATTCTGATTTTTTGTATTTAACATTAAAGTATGTACATTGTCATTTTGATTGGCTTTCTTTGATTTGCTTACAGGGAACAATTTGGAAAACAGCACTTACGGACTGTAAAGACTTTTTCCAGGAACAAACAAGACAAGAACTTTGTGCTAATATATTACAATGAACCTAGAAACATTTTTCATATCACCAAAGGAAATTGCAACTGGGGGCAAAGAATACTCAGTATTGGCTACTTTCATGTCACATAATCACTCTTATCTGCATGTGAGACAGCGTCCATAGTAGATGAAGGCAAGGGAGAAGTGGATTCTGAATGGCTTTTGAGTAGTAAATATTCAGTGTCTGTCATATTAGCTCACATGACCTCACAGGCCTTCACTAAAAAAGTGTTTAAGATTTTAAAATACTGGGCCATTGCATTGTCATCTTTATTTATGAACTGTAAGCCTGTCACTTGGGAGCATTTTCAATGAAAACTTCTCATACCTTCAATAAGTTACCCTTCAGTGACTGTTTTTGTTATTGCTTTGTTTTGAAAATTATTTGGGGATAAGGACTACCATTAAATTTTTTCTGTGGTGGGTGTGTTATGTAAAATTAAAGGGTTTAATGCAGTTTATCTCAGTTGGTTTAACTCAACATAGATTGAATCCCTACCAATTGACAAGAACTGTGCAGATCAATCTAGAAATGTACAGTCTAATGTCATTGAGGAGTGCCAAATGATATATTTTCCAAGTAATATAGAGACCACATAGCTTCTAACCTCATTCCACTCACTGAAAATGATGGCTCTAATAATAAAAATTTTCAGGGGTAGACCACTGAAGTTTAGCAACTCCCTAGATTTGGCAGCAGACAGGAAACTGAGAGGGGCACACATTACACTTGAGTTACTTAATTGAAACCTTGCTCCTCCTCCTCCCTCTTCTCCTCCTTTTCTTTTTTCATCCTTTCTCTACACTCTCCCCTTTTTGCTTCTTCTTCTCTATAGAGACCTTGGTTCTAGTGCTTTACTCTCATGTAAAAGTTTGGGAAACTCAAATTTATTTATTAGAACATTATTATTCCAAACACATTTGAGAACATCAAGTTTCTCCCCCAAAATGATAATTCTATTACTTCAAAAATGAACAAGAGAGAAGAAGAGGGGGAGGGAAGAGAGAGAGAGAGAGAGAGAGAGAGAATGTCTGAACATATAGTGGATTAGAATAACTATTTATTTGGAGGAAAAAAGTAGAGTAACGTAATTAAACCCTGAATAATATTTACTGATAGTTTTGTTATATAAATGTTTAAAAATAGAGCCGTGATACCTATTTGGGATTAACAGTAGTTCCAAAGGTAAGAATATATAGACTAATAACATAAATTTCACAAATTGTTGCATTGTGACATTAATAATATATTTCTAAATGGGAACAATTATCAACCACCGATAAACAGTCAAAACAAAGAACCCCAATTTATTCAGAGATGTGTAAAGCTGGGCACACCTCATTCATAGATTTTTTATTTTTAGAATTCTCGACATATTAAATTTTTCTGAGGAAAAAATGTATATTCATTTATTCATACTCATTTTTGAACTAACATTTATTTAAGGTCCACAATATGCTAGATATTTTATATTATTTTTTGATTACTTAATGCAAATATAGCAACATTATGAAGCAAGTATTATTATCCCTGTTTTACAAATAAGGAAATAAACTCAGGGAGGTGAATGTGATCAAAGATAGATATATAGTTAAGAAAGTTAAAGAGACAGGATTCAAGCCTAAGTCTGTCTGACTTCAAATCTCTCTTCTTCCCACTATTTATTGCTCCCTATGAGTTTATATTAATGAAATCTAAAATCCCACTTAAAACCGTATAATGAAGAAATTAAGAAAACCACCTGAGATAGTGATATAATTTTTCTAATCACTAAATATTTTTTTCTTAGCTCTTCTTGTGGAACAATATACAATATGATTCTTGGGATTGGTTGAGCATGTCTGCCTTATTCTAACTCAAATTTATTTAAGATATGTGTTTTATAGTATTCTGCTACTGGAAATATTACAAATACAGTAATAAAATATATCATTTATTAAGTAAAATAATAAGGAACATGAGTAAAACATTTTGCCTATATTATGCCAGCAGCTATGCTATGCACTGGCAACACACACAGGCTTACAATGAACCCAGAGGTGGGAGCATCTATGTCACCAGGAGAAATTTAAGGATGATTTAACATTTAAAAACTATTAATATGGTTTATTACATTAATAGATGAAAGGAGTGAAAAACATGATCAGTGCTTAGCCCATAGTAGGCAGTCAATAAATAGATGCGGAAAAGGCTTTGGTCAAAATTCTAGACCCATTCATGATAAAAGCTCCTTAGCAAACTAGAAATAGAAGTCAGCTCCCTTAACTTAATAAAACCTACAATAAACATACACTAACGGTGAACTGTTTTAACCTTACCTTTTTCACAGCCAGGAAAATTAGAAGTATGTCTAGTATCACCACTTCTGTTTAGCATTGTATTGGAGGTCCTTGGCAGTTCAGTAAGACAAGATAAAGAGTTAAAATGTATAGGATTGAAAAGGAAAAATAAAACTGTCATTGATCACAGATTATATAATTATCAACATAGAAAACTAAAAAGAATTATAGATATATTATTAGTAAGAGAGTTTAGCAAGGTTATTAGCTACAAGATCAACATATAACGTTAATTTTTTTCCTATACATCAACAGCAAATTATTATAAAAGAAAAGTTTAAGAAACAGTATATGATGCCTTGGAATACATAAAAGATGGTCAAGACTTTTTAATTAGTCAGGTAATGTTCGCTATGCTGTGGTAACACATAATCCCTGAAATAGCCATGTTGTAACACAACACCAATTTATTTCTTGCTCCAGTTACAGTTAATGTGAGTCAGGTGGCTCTCTGGCACAGCTTCCCTTTAAGAGCTGACTCAAGATTCCTGGAAGCTTCCAAACTGTGGCAATGCCATCTGGACTACTAGTTAGTTATAGAAAGGAGAAAAAGGAATGCAAGAGGCAAACTGGCTCTTAACTGCCCAGCTACCTGAACTTATCTTCAAAGTAGAGTGGGAAATGCGGATCTGAACATGGATATTTGGTGGACACTATCAGTGTCTGCCAAAAGGTATAATATTATTTAGAAAACATAGTAAAAAATTAAATAAAATGAGTGATATACCCTCCCATTCATGGATGGGAAAGTGAAGTAATATTGAATGCAATTCCAATCAAACTTGCAACAAGGATTTGCGTGTGTATGTGTGTGGAACTTGACAAAATGATTCCGAAATGTATATGAAAGAGCAAAGGGCCAAGCATAACTAAGACAAAAAAAAAAATGAGGCAGAAAGGCTGACTCTACCAGGTATCAATACGTGTTCGAAAGTTACAGTAATTAAAATAACATCATCTTAGTATAGGAATTGACAAAATAGCAATAACATTGAATATAGTCCAGAAACAGATTTCATGTATAAGAATTTAATAATTGATAATGGTAATATTTCAGATTAGTGTGAAAAAGATGATCTCAAAAAATGGCATGAGGAAAATTGGATATTCATATATGAAATTTTATGTTAGATTTCTATCTCACATAAATCCCCCAAATAAATTTCAGGTCAGTTAAAGAGCTAAAAGTTTTCTTTTTTTTTTTTTTAAAGGTATTGTATTAGGGTTCTATAAAGCAACAGAACTATTAGCATATATGCATATGTATATGAAGGGGAGTTTATTAGGAAAATTGATTCACACGATCACAAGGTGCAGTTCCACAATAGGCCATCTGCAAGTTGAGGAGCAAGGAAGTCAGTCGGAGTCCCAAAACCTCAAAAGTAGGGAAGCCGATAGTGCAGCCTTTGGTCTGTGGCCAAAGGCCTGAGAGCCACAAATCACTGGTGTAAGTCCAAGAGCCCAAAAGCTGAAGAACTTGGAGTCTGATGTTCGAGGGCAGGAAGCATCCAGCACAGGAGAAAGATGAAGGCCAGAAGACTCAGCAAGTCTCCTCATTCCACTTTCTTCTGCCTGCTTTATTCTAGCCATGCTGGCAGCTGATTAGATGGTGCCCACCCAGATTGAGGGTGGGTCTGCCTCTCCCAGTCCACTGACTCAAATGTTATTCTCCTTTGGCAACACTCTCACAGACAAACCCAGAAATAATACTCTGCATCCTTCAATCTAATCAAGTTGACACTCAATATTAACCATCACAGGTGTTTTAGCAACATGTGGGACATATTTTCCTACTAATGAATTGAGAAAGACTCTTCTAAACAAGATGCAAAGTCCAGAGCCATAAAAGAAAATATTAAGTGAATTGTCTATATCAAAATTTAAAATTTCTAGGTAATGAATCACACCATAAAAGTTAAAATCTAGAATGAAAAAAAGATTTGCAATATGTGTAATGAAGTATTAATATGAAAATATAAAAAGAATTTTTGCAAGTTATAATAGTGGCAAGGGCATAAACTGAGAAATCATAGAAGAGGTAACTGAAAATTGGCATTGAACATATGTTTCGATGTATAAGGAGGGAAATGCATAGTATAACAATATGATACCATATTTTTTAGCTCATTAGATTGGCAGACATTTAAAAAGTAATAATATCTAGTATCAGTGAGTGGAAATCAGCTTTTTTAAAGTACCATTTGGCAGTCTATCAAAATGTAAAGTGTACATACCCTTTAAACCAGTAATTCAACCACTAAGACTCTATCTACCAGAGATATGCATGTGAACAGAGATATAAGTATGAGATGTTTGTTGAATCATTACTTAAAAGAACAATAAAACTGAAAACAACCAAATATTCATTAATAATTGTTGGATAAATAGATTTCATACCATGGAATGGTACGCAGCAATAAATAAGAGGGACGAACATTTTTATGTGCTATATTTTATGATGTCTAAGATATAGTTGTTGAAATAAGCCAATTACAGAACTATGATGTGAGCCAACTTATGTTTTTAGAAAACATTTAAAAAGACCCTATACCCTTATACTCAGTGTGTGTGTGTGTGTGTGTGTGTGTGTGTGTGTTTGTATACACATGCATAAGTGGAGAAAAATATCTGAAAGAACACACCAAACATCAGTTTTACATCTGGGAAGAAGTTATATTATAAATGGTGGTAAAGGAATATTTCAAAAAATGTAGAAAATTCAAAAGTAGAAAGAAAAAAGACTGTTCACAAATTCCCTCAATTCAAAGCTAACTATTGTTACCCTTCTGTGTACACACACATACATATATGCACGTAGATATCTCTAGCTCTCTTTTACACAACGTGGGATCCCACATACATGCTACTTTCATAACTTGCTTTTTTGTTTAACCATACACTGTGGATTTTTTTCATGACATTAATTGCCTATTTTATTTATTTAACAATAACTTATAGTGCATACTATATTCCAGGCACTTTCCCAAATACCATACATATACATAAATCTGAATTCTTTCAATGCTTTTTAAAGGTATTATTGTTACTGCTATAAAAGCATTATCATTTGTGTACGTAACATCAACATTAATCATTCAGATGAAGGAGAAATAAGGAAAGAGTGCCTATCACTGTAATGGAACTGAGAAAATTTTCAGAGGACCTTCCATGCACAGGTTGAGGCCCTTCTAGAGAATACCTGGAAAATGTTATTTGGATCTGGACCGCAACATGAAGAGAGAAGCAAGTTAATGACTCTTTTTACAAAACTCTATTCATATACACAGCACATTTTTGTTATACATCCAAGTAATTTTTTTAAACCACAAAGAGAATTACCAGTCAAGTAGCTCTGACACAAGCTTCCTTTGATTAGACCTCCCATGCTGGTAGCCACTGCAACTGCTTGGATCTTTTTTTTTTTCAAGACAAGTCCCATTTGCCACAGAGATTTATAGTATTTCCATTTCAGCCTGTATAGCACTAATCACTATTAGAATATGGGCAAAAAGCCTGTTAATAAATATAGTGATGGAATCCATAACAGATGCTTTTCTCACAATAAAAGCTTGAATTTCACACACCTCCTAAATTTCCTGTGTCTCATGACCAAATTTCAGGTATTTGGAAAGTTTGTTTGATAAAGTGTCACTTGGGGATAAGAGATGGGCCATTTCTCTTGGGATTAAACCTGAATATTTAGACTTCATTGCCTCTTTGAATGTACTCTTATAGATGTCACTTTTCAACTTGCAGGTTTAAGTATCTAAAACCACTAACACCAAGTAATGAGAAGGACTCTAGTCTGATTATACTAAACATCTCGGTTCAAGTTCACTAAAAATTCTCCAGCACATCTGCTGTTACAGTCATGGTGGAGAGAAGAGTGGCCTGGTAATTAGAAAACCTGGCTCCTAATCCTGGCTCTGTCCTTAATCATGCAAACAGTAATGCTATCTTTTCTTGAGTTCTATTCTACATGTCAGGTGCTTTGCTGAGTGCTTCACATGGATTTTGACATATTGACTCTTACAAACATCCTATGAAGTAGGTACTATCATTATTCTTGTTTAACAGGCAAGGAAACTGATAACTAGAAAGATTGAAATGATTTGCTAAGAGTTACAGCTAACAGCCCAGCATCACACCCATGAGTGCCCACGCATGTGGACAAGGGGCCTGGGGATCAACCCACTAGCTCAATGCCATCAGTGTCCACCCACATGTTTCAGAAACCTGAGGACAAGCCATTCCAGCCTGCTGGTGCCTATGCACACCAGCTGAGAGCCTGGAGATCAACCAGCCACACCTGCCACAGCCTGCATCCGTGTGCACCATCAGGAGCCTGAGGACAGGCTAGCTCTCCCTGGCACCACCTCCTCTAGTGCCCATATATGTCTTTGGGGGTTCTGGGGATTGGATTGCCTCACCTGCTGCCAGTGGTATCCAGAAACTCTTCCTGGAGGTCTGAGGATGTGCCCACCTGTCCTGCTACCACCACCACTGCCAGCACCTACTTGCATAAACCACCTGGTAACCTGGGGATTGGCCCACCCAGTTTGCAGCTGCCACTGCTGATGTCTGTGCATACCACATGAAGGGCCAAGAGCTGGCCTGCCACAGCTACTGCCACCATTGTCAATTGCTACACACCATCCAGGGACCCAAAGACACACTTGACTTACTGTTACCACTCCACTGCTGGAACATGAACAAGATACCTGGAGGCCCAAGGATCAACCTGCCTTGACCCACTACCACCAGATCTCACACACACTTTCATGGGGGCCCAATGACTGGCATGTTTGGCCCACTGCTGCCACCACTAGGGCCCAAGGATCAGCCCATCTGACATCCCTGTCTCCAGTAAGGCCCTACCACATCCTCCACTAACAACTTCAGCCTAAGCCACTGAAGAACTCACAGACACCATTTATGCTGATTGCAGTCAAATAAATCATACAGAGACTACAGAAAAGCGTGCACCCAGAATCAATGGAAAATCACCCAATCCAACCAGAACTATAGATAAATTTATAAGAAACAGTCTTTACCTACAAAATCCTATCCATAAAATAAGTGACTGCTACATCAGACATGCAAATATCAACATAAGAACACAAGAAACATGAAAAAACAAGGAACTATGACACCTCCAAAGAACATAATTCTCCCGCAATAGATTCCACTGAAAAAGAAATCCATAAAATGCCTGAAAAAATGCAAAATGATATTAGAGAAGCTCAGTGAGATGCAAAAGAACACAGATAAACAATACAAAGAAATCAGAAAAAAAAGATTTATAATCTAAATGAGAAATTCAACACAGATAACTATCATAAAAAAGAATCAAACAGAAGTCTTGGAGCTGAGGAATTCAATGGGTGAAATGAAATAAAACATATAACTGAGTTTCAACAATAGACTAGATCAAGCAAAAGAAGGAATTTTTAAACTTGAAGGCAGGTCTTTTGAAATAACCCAATCAGGCAAAAAAGAGGAAAAATAATTTTAAAAAAGAATAAAGAAAGCCTATGTGGCATATGGAACAACATAAAGCAACCAAATATTGAAATACTATGCAGCCATAAAAAATGATGAGTTCATGTCCTTTGTAGGGACATGGATGAAATTGGAAATCATCATTCTCAGTAAACTATCGCAACAACAAAAACCAAACACCGCATATTCTCACTCATAGGTGGGAATTGAACAATGAGAACACATGGACACAGGAAGGGGAACATCACACTCTGGGGACTGTTGTGGGGTGGGGGGAGGGGGGAGGGATAGCATTGGGAGATATACCTAATGCTAGATGACGAGTTAGTGGGTGCAGCGCACCAGCATGGCACATGTATACATATGTAACTAACCTGCACATTGTGCACATGTACCCTAAAACTTAAAGTATAATAATAATAATAATAATAATAAAGAAAAAAAAAAGAAATTGTGGGTGTTCCAGAAGAAGACATGGGCAAAGGCACAAAAATCTATTTAATGAAATAATAGCTGAAAACTTTGAAGTCTTGCAAGAGATACAGACATCTAGTCACAGGAAGCTCAAAGATCCCCAAAGAGATTCAACCTAGAATGGTCTTTTCCAAGGCATATTATAGCCAAACTGTCAAAAGTCAAAGACAGAGAGAATTCTAAAAACAGTAAGAGAAAAGTGTCAAGTCACATATGAGTGAATCTCCATCAGTGTAAGAATGGATTTCTCAACAGAAACCTTATAGGAAAGGAGAGGATGGGATGAGGTACTCAAAAGTGCTGAAAAGAAAAAAAAAAGAGGCCAGTCAAGGGTAATATAACAAGCAAAGTTCGTCTTCATAAATGGAGATATAAACTCTTTCCTCCACAGGCAAAAACTGAGGGAATTCATCAACACTAGACCAGCCATCCAAGAAATACTTAAGGGAGTCCTACATCTGGAAGCAAAAGGACAATACCTATTATCACAAAAACACACACAAAAGTATAAAGGAGATACACAAATGAGAAAGAGAAACAACTCAAATATTACCATTACAGAAAACCACAAAGCCATAATGATAAATGGATGGAAGGAAGGAAGAAACGAAGGAAGGAAGGAAGGAAGGAAGGAAGGAAGGAAGGAAGGAAGGAAGGAGGGAAGGAAGGAAGGACTCAGACACCACTTATGCTGATTACAGCCAAAGAAATCACACAGAGACTACACAAAAGCATGCACCCAGAATCAAAGCAAAAGTGCCTTACCCAACCAACACTATAGATACATCCATAAGAAACAGTATTTACCTACAAAATCCAATCCATAAAATAAAAGAGGTGACTGTTACATGAGACATGCAGATATCAACATAAGGACAGTTGATATCCTTTGATGAATTTCTCATTGAGATTATAAATCTTTTTTTTCTGATTTCTTTGCATTATTTGTGTTATTTTGCATATTATTGAGCTTCTGTAATATCATTATTTTACATTCTTTTCAGGAATTTTATGGATTTTTCATTGGAATCTATTGCTAGAAAATTATTAAGTTCTTTGGAGCTGTCACAGTTCCTTGCTTTTTCATGTTTCTTATAGGTTGTACAAAACAATCAGAAAATAATTAGCAAAATGACAGAAATAAGTCCTCACCTATCAATAATAACCATGAATGTAAACAAATTAAATTCCCCTAAAAGATATAGACATGTTAAAATGGATTTTTAAAAGTATGACCCAGTTATATGCTACCTACAAGAAACTAAGTTCCCTGTAAAGACATGCATACACTGAAAGTAAAGGGATGGAAAAAGATATTCCATGCAAACAGAAACAAAGGTAAGCAGGAATAGCTATACTTCTATCATATAAAAGAAACTTCAAGTCAAAAATAGTAAATAGAGATAAAGAAGGTCACTATATAATGATAAAGGGATCAATTCATGAAAAGAACATAAGAATTCTAAATATGTTTGCACCAAAACTCAGATAACCCAGATATATATAGCAAACATTTTTAGATATAAAGGGAGAGATTGATGCAAATACAATAATAGTTGGGGACTTCAACACCACACACTCAGGATTGGACAGGTCATCTATAGACAAAATTAACAAGGAAACAATTGTACTTTAGACTAAAATGGACCTAACAAATATTTAAGGAACATTTCATTCAATAACTGCAAGATACACGTTCTTCTCATTAACACATGGAACATTCTCCAAGATAGACCATACATTAGGACACAAAACAAGCCTCAACACATTTTTAAAAATTAAAATCATATCCTGGTCAGGTGCGGTGGCTTATGCCTATAATTCCAGCACTTTGGGAGACGGAGGTGTGATTGCTTGAGGATTGCTTGAAGCCAGGAGTTTGAGAAGAGCCTGGGCAACAAAGCAAGACCCTGTTGCTACACAAAAATTAATAAATAAATCAGTTGTGGCAGCATGCACCTGTAGTCCCAGCTACTTAGGAGGCTGAGGTAGGAAGATTGCTTGAGCCCAGCAGGTTGAGGCTGCAGTGAACCACACTCACACCACTGCTCTCCAGCCTGAGCAACAAAGCAAGACTCCCTTCTCTTTCTCTCTCCCTCAAAAAAAAATATTATGTATCTCCTCAGGCCACGATTACATAAAAGTAGAAATCAATAACAAGAGGAAACACTACAAATACATGGAAATTAAACAACATGTTCTTGAATAACCATTGTGTCAAGGAAGAAATAGAGAAGGAAATCAAAAATGTCTTGAAATAAATGAAAATGGAGGCTAGGTGCAGTGGCTCATGCCTGCAATCCCAGCACTTTGGGAGGCTGAGACAGGAATCTCACTTGAGGCCAGGAGTTTGAGACCATACTAGGCAACATAGTGAGACCTTGTCTCTACAAAAAATATAAAAAATAGACAGGTATGGTGACACATGCCTGTAGTCCTAGCACCTCTGGAGGAAGGAAGGAAGGAAGGAAGGTAGGAAGGAAGGAAGGAAGGAAAGAAGGGAGGGAGGGAGGGAGGGAAAGAAGAAACAATATACAAGCATATCAAAACCTATGGAATACAGCAAAAGCAATGCTAAGAAGGAAGTTTATAGCAATAAACACCATATCAAAAAAGTAGAAAGATTTCAAATAAACAACTTAGCAATGTGTGTCAAGGAACTAGAAAAGCAATAATAAATTAAACCTAAAACTAGCAGATGGAAAAACAAAACAAAGAACAGAGGAGAACTAGGCAAAATTCAGAAGAAAAAAAATACATATATATTTTACATATATACAAATGTATATGTATTACAAAAAATACATATATACTGTGTGTGTGTGTATATATATGTGTATGTATGTATGTGTGTGTATATATATACATATGTGTATATATATATATATATGTGTGTGTGTATATATATATATATATATATATATATGGGACCAACAAGACAAAAAGTTGGTTTTTTGAAAGATAAACAAAATTGCTAAACTGCTAGCTAGACTAACTAAAAAAAGGAGAGAGGACCCAAACAAATAAAATCAGAAATTAAAAATGAGACATTATAACTGATACCACAGAAATACAAAAGCTCATTAGAGACTATTATGAACAACTAACTATATGTTAATAAACTGGAAAACCTCGAGGAAATGAACAAATTCCTGGATACTTACAACCTACCAAGATTGAATGCAGAATAAATAGCAAACCTGAATAGAACAATAATGAATAATGAGATTGAATAAGTAATTAAAAGTCTCGCAATAAAGAAAAGCCCAGGACTGGCTTTACTGCTGAATTCTACCAAAATTACAAAGAAGAACTCACACCATTTATTCTTGAACTATTCCAAAAAACTTAAAAGGTGGGAATTCTTCCTAACTCATTCTACAAGACCAGAAATACCCTATACCAAAACCAGAAAATAATGTAACAAAAAAGAAATTATAGGCCAATATTCCCGATGAAGATGGACACAACATTCTCCACAAAATACTAACAAACTGAATCTAACAGCACATCAAATAGATAATACGCTATGATCAAGTGGGATTTATCCCCAGGATGCAAGGATGTTTCAAGATATGGAAACCAATAAATGTTGATGTAATAATCAACAGAATGAAGAACAAAACAATGTGATTATATACTCCGATGCACAAAAAGCATTTGACAAAATTCAGCATCCCTCCATGGTAAAAACTCACAACAAGCTACACACTGAAGGATCATACCTCAACAGCATAAAGGCCATTTATGACAAAACCACAGCTAACAACATACTGAATGGGGAAAACCTGAAAGCCTTTCCTCTAAAAACGGGAGCAAGACAAGGATACCCACTTTCACCAGTCCTATTCAACATACTACTAGAAGTCCTGGCCAGAGCAATCAGGAAATAGAAAGAAATGAAAGGTATCCAAATAGGAAAAAAAGGAAGTCACACTGTCCCTCTCTGTGGATGACATAATCGTATATATAGCAAAACCTGAAGGTTCCACAAAAAGCTCTTAGGATAGAGAAAGAAACTGAGTAAAATTTCAGATACAGAATAAACATACAAAAACCAACAGCATTTCTACACAACAATAAGAAACTAACTGAAAAAGCAATACCAAAGACAGGCAATAACAAATGCTCAATATCACCAGCAGAACCTGCAGAACAGCAAAGATTGCTATCTGTTCCTTCCTCTGGAAGCTTCGTCCCAGAAAGGCACCCACCAGATGCCAGCTGGAGCTCTCCTGTATATCTGTTGACCGCTGCCAGGAGGTGTCTCCCAGTCAGGAGGCACAGGGGTCAGGGACCCACTTGAGGAGGCAGTCTGTCCCTTAGCAGAGCTCCAGCGCTGTGCTGGGAGATTCACTGCTCTCTTCAGAGCCAGCGGGCAGGAATATTTAAGTCTGCTGAAGCTGTGCGCACAGTTGCCGCTTCCCCCAAGTGCTCTGTCCCAGGGAGATGGGAGTTTTATCTATAAGCCCCTGACTAGCCATACACAAAAAACTGAAACTGGACCCCTTCCTTACATCTTATACAAAAATTAACTCAAGATGGATTAAAGACTTAAATGTAAGACCTAAAACCATAAAAATCCTAAAAGAAAACCTAGGCAATACCATTCAGGACATAGGCATGAACAAATATTTCATGACTAAAACACCAAAAGCAATGGAAACAAAAGCCAAAATTGACAATGGGATCTAATTAAACTAAAGAGCTTCTGCACAGCAAAAGAAACTATCATCAGGGTGAATAGACAACCTAGAGAAAGGGAGAAAAATTTTGCAATCCATCCATCTGACAAAGGGCTTATATCTGGAATCTATAAGGAACTTAAACCAATTTACAAGAAAAAAACAACCCCATCAGAAAGTGGGCGAAGGATATGAACAGACACTTCTCAAAAGAAGACATTTATGTGGCCAACAAACATATGAAAAAAAGCTCATCATCACTGGTCATTAGAGAAATGCAAATCAAAACCACAATGAGATACCATCTCACACCAGTTAGAATGGCGGTCATTAAAAAGTCAGGAAACAATAGATGCTGGAGAGGATGTGGAGAAATAGGAACACTTTTATACTGTTGGTGGGAGTGTAAATTAGTTCAACCATTGTGGAAGACAGTGTGGCAATTCCTCAAGGATCTAGAACCAGAAATACCAATTGATCCAGCCATCCCATTACTGGGTATATACCCAAAGGAATATAAATCATTCTACTATAAAGACACATGCACATGTATGTTTATTGCAGCACTATTCACAATAGCAAAGACTTGCAACCAACTCAAATGCCCATCAATGATAGACTGGATAAAGAAAATATGGCACATATATACCATGGAATACTATGGAATACTATGGAATACTATGCAGCCATAAAAAAGGATGAGTTCATGTTCTTTGCAGGGACATGGATGAAGCTGGAAACCATCACTCTCAGCAAACTGACACAGGAACAGAAAACCCAACATCGCATGTTCTCACTCATAAGTGGCAGTTGAACAATGAGAACGCATGGACACAGGGAGGGGAACATCACACACTGGGGCCTGTCATGGGGAAGCTAAGGGAGGGATAGCATTAAGAAAAATACCTAATGTAGATGACGGGTTGATGGGTGCAGCAAACCACCATGACACATGTATACCTATGTAACAAACCTGCATGTTCTGCACATGTATCCCAGAACTTAAAGTATAATAAAACAAAACACACAAACAAACAAACAAATGATGGCAAGGAGGTGGAGTAAAGGAAACACTCGTATACTGTTGGTGGGAATGTAAATTAGTACAACCACGATGGAGAACAATTTGGAGGTTCCTCAAAACAATAAAAATAGAGCTACCATATGATCCAGCAATCCCATTGCTGGGTATATATCCAAAAACATGGTAATCAGTATATTGAAGAGATATCTGTACTCCCATGTTTATTTTAGCATTATTCACAATAGCCATGATATGGAATCAACCTAAGTGTCCATCAGCAGATAAATGGATAAAGAAAATGTGGTACACAATGGAATATTATTCAGCCATAAAAATAATGAAATCCTGTCATTTGCAGCAACATGGATGGAACTGAAGGTCATTATGTTAACTGAAATTAGCCAGGCACAGAAAGACAAATGTCATATGTTCTCACTTATTTATGAAATCTAAAAATGTAAACAATTGAACTCATGGACATAGAGAGTAGAAAGATGGTTACCAGAGGCTGGGAAGAGTAATGGGGGTGTGGGAAGGAGGTGGGGACAAAAAATAGAATGAATAAGACCTAGTATTTGATAGCACAACAGGGTGACTAGAGTCAATAATAATTTATTTTTATTTTTTAAAAAAATTTGGACATATGAGTTTAATTACCTGCTAGGTCATCAGATGGAAATATGTAGTAGTAAATGGATGGAAAAAAGGTTTATAAACTTAGGAGAGAGGCGGGCATTTTTAGACCACTTGAAATTTAGACATTCACCAGATTGGACAATTTTGGGCATTTAAAATAAATCATTTTGCCACAAAAAACACAAAGCAATGTATTAAAACTGGTTTAGAGAATTGCCCAAATGATTTTTTCAACATGATTTGAATTTTTTTCATATTACATTAAATGTCAAATTTTCTTCGGCAAATCTATCCAAATACTACATTTTCATTCTACAACTTAATTTATATTAATATAGTAGAGTGTCCTAAATTGATGTTCATCAGGATACCTTCCTCTAAGCCCTAATGGTTTCTATCTTCCATTTAAAATGTACAAGTATCTTTTAATTAAGTTGTCATTCTCAAAGATATTCTGGAGAAATGATTAGGAATTAAACACCTATAAATTCTTCTTCACTTCTGTTACAGTGTAGCAATTTATTATCTAATCCATAGTGGTCTATCAATTGAGTAGGTTTACTTTCTTGTTCTCTGCAGACATAGCTGACTACAACTCATAAAGCAACGGCTGGCTACAGCTTCTCTACTTCTTTATTAACAACTGTAACTGAGACGATCAACATTCTTTGATCTATATACATTTGGACAAGATTTCGCCTCCAAAAGAAAGTCTTCTTTCTCCTGAACCTGCTTCACCAATTTTGCTTTTTCTTCGTTTAATTCTTGTTTAGGAAGATTCTAATTCACAAACTCATTTTGGAGAGCACTGAATGACACAGAATCAAGTGACTGAGATTCACTCACATTGATATTCTTGAAGGTATTTTTCAAATATGTGATTTCTTCAAATTCACTTGTCTATGTGTTTAAAATTTTCTTGAAATTCCAAACAGTTTTCCTCTGTGGAATACGCTGGTTTCTCTGAAAAGTTCTGATTGTTTTCTTCATTCTCTACTTTAAGACGTTTTATCACATTGTAACAGGAATTAAATGAAGATCTTGTTTTCCTTAATCTTTCTTTAAGTGTTGCACTCATAGGTTGTTTTCATGAACTAGTTGTACGGGGAGATGATGGATTCACAAAGGCCTGTGGAGTACTAGGCAAAACCACAGCTGAGTCTGACTGACTTTCCATCTTGAAAATGAAATCTTGGTTTACCTCTCTGCTCTCCCCAGCATGAGCAGAAAGCACATGCAGTTGCAGCCATAAATCTATCCTGTGCCCAAGGTGGGGCCATGCGAGAGAGCTATAGTCAATAATAATTTAATTGTACATTTAAAAATAACTCAAGGAGTATAATTGGATTGTTTGTAACACAAAGGATAAATGCCTGAGGAGAAGGATACCCCATTCTCTATTATGCAATTATTATGCATTGCATGCCCGTATCAAAACACCTCATATTCCCCATAAATATATACACCTACTATGTACCTACCAAAATTTTGAAAAAAAGCAATCCCATTTGAAATAGCTACAAAAAGGTACCTGGGAATAAACTTAACTAAGGATTTGAAAGCCCTCTCCAAGGAAAACTAAAAAATTCTAATGACACAAAGTGAAGAGGATGCAAACTAATGAAAAGACATCCCAGGCTCACAGATCAGAAGAATTAACATCATTAAAGTAAGAAGACTGCCCAAAGCAGATTGAGTGCAATACTTATCAAAATGCAAATCTAACTGACGCCTGATGATCAGAGGTGACATTCTTTACAGAAATAGAAATAACAATCCTCAAATCCATATGGAAACACAAAAGACCCTCAATAGGCAAAGCAATCCTGAACAAAAGAACAAAGCTGGAGGCATCATACTACCTAACTTCAAAATATACTGTATCAAGCTATAGAAACCAAAACATCATGTCATTGATATAAAAAGACACATAGACTAAT
Organism: Homo sapiens; assembly: GCF_000001405.40. Lineage (NCBI taxonomy): Eukaryota > Metazoa > Chordata > Mammalia > Primates > Hominidae > Homo > Homo sapiens. The sequence goes on from NC_000023.11 coordinate 85,850,876, forward strand.
GGAAAAGAACAGGAAACCCAGAAATAAAACCACATATTTACAGCCAACTGATTTTTTGACAAAGGTGACAAGAATATACATAGGGAAAAGGATACCTTCCTCAATAAATGGTGCTGGTGTTTTACTGTCCCTTCTGTATGGAGCTTTGGACCTGAACCTTTTATGACACTTCCTAATCAGTATAAATGTAAATTTGCATAGTACACAAATGCATTCACAGACATACACATATAGACATGCATGAATAATAAGAGAGACCATTGATCAGCATGTTTCATGTTGGCCACTTGTGGACAGTGATTTCATCCAAAAAGAACATACGTTTTAAACATCTGAGTAGTTTAAGTTAGAAAAAAATGATGAAAGGAAAACAAGAAAACAGGATAAGTGTCCTCCAAAGAGCAGTAGCTGATGACCATACGTTGTAAACAGCCTGACTTCGACAGTGAGCGATAGGGGACATGTAATAAAGCCTGGTAGAACCCAAGAAATCCAGTGTGTCCACAGGCAGACAGGTGTATAGTATGGACCGATGTTTCTACAATTTAGGGTGAACCTTTCTGTCCCCAGTTAGTTGTGAAAATAGTTTTTAAAAACAGTTTTAGCCTTTTAAGAGTAATTTTCTAGTCCCTTCTGTGCTTTGAAATGTTAAGGATCAATTTTAGGGGCAAGTTCCCTGTTGGGAGATCCTTGTTTTCAGGATTTGAACATGTGAATGACTTGCACCACATACTGCCGGCAGATGGGGCACTTGCTCATGCGCTTGCTACACTTGGTGCAGGTGATCATGTGCCTGCACTCAAGCAGGTAGAGGAATTTTCAGAGGTTCTAATAAATGACATCTCCCAGAAGTGTGTATTTCGTTTAAACATTTTGTGTGCAAGTGTCAGAAATCCAGTGGTGTTTTCTGAACATCAAAGCAGGAGATTTGATTATAAGGATACAGGAGTGTATCACAAACCCTCAGGGCAGGAATGATACTGGACCTCCAGTATCATTAGAATTAGAAAGCTCTCAGAAACCAATTCTAGGTTCACCTGGCAGTTCTGTGTCTCTCATCTCTGTTTTTTCTTTCTTTACAAACAGATTTTCTCTGCTCTACTGTCCACCTAGTGGAAAATATGGCTGCCTATAGCTAAAGAGGTTTCATGGTACGTATCAGCCACCCAGCAAATTTAAAACTCATTATGGATCTCAATTTCAAAGTGGGTCAGGGGCCTGTCCCCACCCTAGGACGAGTCTACTGTGGCCAGAGGAGCAGGGTTATGCAGGTGATGCATGGCAATGAGTCAGGCATTGTCATGTGCTGAGGACACAAGGATGAATGACAGGGTCCCTGCACTCAAGTTGTTCACTGTCTAGAAGACAGAAACAAAATCAGAAAACTTAGAATCCAACGAAGTAAGTACTTTATGAACAGTACTGTGGGTTCCACAGAGGGAAAAGTAATTTTGCCAAAGTATTAGCAGTCGAAGTAACACTACATCTGGATTTTAAAGACAGAATATAAATTTGTTGTAAGAAAAGGGGTGTGGTAGTAGCAGAGAGAGGTTAGAGGTTAGGGCAGGGGTCCCCAACCACTGGGTCACAGACCTGTACCAGTCTGCGGCCTGTTAGAAACTGGGCAGCACAACAGGAGGTGAGTGGCAGGCAAGCAAGCATTAGTGCCTGAGCTCTGCCACCTGTCAGATCAGCAGCTGCATTAGATTCTTATAGGAGCACAAACCCTATTGTGAATTGGCATGCGTGGGATCTAGGTTGTGCGCTCCTTATGAGAATCTGATTCCTAACGATCAGAGGTGAAACAGTTTCATCCTGAAACCATCCCTGTACTGCTTCCCGTCTGTGGAAAAATTCTCTTCCACAAAACTGGTCCTTGGTGCCAAAATGGTTGAGGACCGCTGAGTTAGGGCATTTTAGAAAAATAAATGATATGTGCAATGGGCCAGAGTCTGAGGATAGTGGGAAGTTCATTGTGATTGAAGAATAGAGTGAGAGGTGAGAAGGGAGGTAGAATGACAGGAGATGAAGCAAGAGAGGAATATTTTGTATTTTGGGGAGGTGAACTCACATGTATACTGAAGAGGTCAGATTGTATTTTATAGGCAGCAGTTTTAAAGGACTGACATGATCAGGGCTCTTATGTGTTTTTAATTTTTAGGTGAAACTCTGCCACTGGTAGGACAGGCAGATGTAGTTCATTATGATGAGAAAGAACAGAATCTTACTATTTACTAGTTCATAAACATGTTTTGATGTGTACCAATTCAGAGGAGCAATCCAAGCCTTTCCAACTATGACCTTGGATGTCATTCTATCTCTCGGCACTTCAGTTTCCTCATCAATGTCCTCATCTATAAAATGGAGGATAATTACTTACAAGTTATTATGAGATTAACAGAAGAGAGCCTAGTACATAGTAGGCACTACAAGTGTTACCTGTAATTTTTTTCCTATCCTCTGAGCTATGCTCAGGGTCCCAAGCTCTATCTTGTCACAGCCACATATGGTGCAGGCTGGGGATACCTACTTAACGGCTTCATTCTTACATATCTGTGGTGTGTTCCTATGCTAAATGACCTCCTTCTCATAATGCGTAAGCAGAAGAAGGAACCAATGAGGTGATTTCTACCTCAATAGGTATTGGAGTAGACAGAAGAGCCTGGTGTCAGGATGACTCATTAGAATAGTCTGAAAGAGAATGATAACAGTGGGTCGTGGGAATAAAGAGGAGGTGGCTGTGATCAGGAAGATATTCTGAGATAAAAAATCAGTAAGATTGTGTGCCCAAATGCATGCGGAAATTGAGGAAAAGTGATGAATTGTAATTTACCATGTGTGTAAGCAAGATGAATAGATCTTTTGACTCTACTGGATCAACTACTTTGATTTTTAAAAATCCTAGATTTCAGTTGGCTTATTCACTTGTTCCATTGGTAGCACAAGTTAGACAAAAATAACTGGCATGATCTCCACTCAGCCCTTAAGAAGAGTAGGAAAAGAAAATTAGCCAGGTGTGATGGCGTGTGCCTGTTTTCTCAGCTACTCAGGAGGCTGAGGTGGGAGGATTGCTTGGGGCTAAGATGTCAAGGCTGCAGTGAGCTATGATTGCGCCATTGAACTCCAGCCTCAGGGACACAGTGAGACCCTGTCTCTAAGAAAAATAAAAATAAATTTAAAAACACAATAGATCTACTGCCCCATCACTGACAATTGTTGAAGGCAACAGCTACTAACAGTGAAACTATATTTATTTCTTCCAGCTTTACTAAGATATAACTGACAAACAAAATTGTACCCAAAGGATTATAAATCATTCTACCATAAAAACACAGGCACATGTATGTTTATTGTGGCACTGTTCACAATAGCAAACACTTGGAACCAACCCAAATGCCCATGAATAATAGACTGGATAAAGAAAATGTGGCATGTATACATCATAGAATACTATGCAGCCGTAAAAAAGGATGAGTTTATGTCCTTTGCAGGGACATGGATGAAGCTGGAAACCATCATTCTCAGCAAACTAACACAAGAACAGAAAACCAAACACCACATGTTCTCACTCATAAGTGGGAGTTGAACAATGAGAACACATGGACACAGGGAGGGGAACATCACACAGCGGGGCCTGTCGGGGGGTGGGGGGCTAGGGGAGGGGGAGCATTAGGAGAAATACCTAATGTAGATGACGGGTTGATGGGTGCAGCAAACCACCATGGCACGTGTATACCTATGTAACAAACCTGCACGTTCTGCACATGTATCCCAGAACTTAAAGTATATTAAAAAAATTAAAAAAAAAACACAATAGATCTACTGTGCCATTACTGACAATTGTTGAAGGCAACAGCTAGTAACAGTGAAACTATATTTATATCCTTCCAGTTTTACTGAGATATAACTGACAAATAAAATTACACATATTTATGGTTTAAGCATTTTGATACATGTATATATTTTGAAATGATCTAATGTACAGCGTGGTGACTATAGTTAATAATACTGTACTGTATATTTGAAATTTGCTAAGAAAGTAGAACTTAAGTGTTCTCACCACAAACATACAAACATAAAGGAAACTGAATAAATGAATATACTAATTATCTTGATTGTGGTAATCATTTCACAATGTATACATATATCATTTCACAATAAATTATATTTTTAATATAGGGCAAAGATTGAATTTTTTACTGGATAATTGGAGCATATATTATACAATATATATTTTCGGCTGTTTCTGAAAAAAATATTCAACAGATTCTCATAGAATAGTGTCACAAGTCCAAATGTGAGGCATCAAAAAGGTTTCATGTGTGGAAATTAGTAGCAGACTCCATGCTGCAACGTCTAAAGACTGCCTAGATAGAAACATTTTAGAGGTTAAAAAGCATTAACAATTTTATCATAGATTGGTGATAATAAAGTAGGCAATCTAAGTCGTAAGATTATAAATTCCCTCCACTCCATGGTACTCAATAATGCCATTTTCATTTTTAAATTTTTAACTAAGGGGAAGAGAGAGGGAGAGGGGCTGACTCTGTAAACATGTTTATTCTTCCTGACCTTGCCCTGTGCCAGTGTTGCTCAGCCACACTACCTCTTTCTCTTTCTTCCTCTGGCCTGGGAAGACATCAATCAAAGGTAATAAATTTAAACAGGTGATTTTTAGAGTCCCTGGTTTCAAAACATTATAAAACAAAGTATATAGGACTGAACTGAATCCTATAGGACCTCCTTTTCAGAAATAGTGGAGGGTAGTTATGTTGTAAAGGAAGAAACAATGTACAGGTAGGTTATTATTATTAACCTATATATTATTATTAACCTTTATCTGTCATTTAAAAAATTTACTATGAAAAATTTTAAACACAATAGAAAATACATAATAGAAACAACTCCCCATATATCATGTATTTAATCATTAATATTTTGTTCTACTTATTTCATCTATTTTTAAAATCTGAGATATCTTTTAAAAATTAAAATTTTCTCATTCAACACTATTAATATGAATTCCTTATATCAACTATCATCCAGTAAATGTTCAATTCCCTCTGATTGTCTCAAAACGGTCTGGATTTTGCTTTAAAAAAAAAAAAAGATGTCAGTCTGGGTGCTGTGGCTAATGCCTGTAATCCCAGCACTTTGGGAGGCTGAGGTGGGCGGATCATTTGAGGTCAGGAGTTCCAGACCAGCCTGACCAACATGATAAAACCCCGTTTCTACTAAAAATACAAAAAAATTAGCTGAAAAAAATTAGCTGGGCATGGTGGCCTGCGTCTGTAATCCCAGCTACTTGGGAGGCTGAGGCAGGAGAATCACTTGAACCCGGGAAGCGGAGGTTGCAATGAGCCCAGATCACATTACTGCACTCCAGCCTGGGCAACAGAGCAGGACTCCATCTTAAAAAAAAAAAAAAAAAAAAAAGATGTCATTTGTTCAAAACAAGGTCAGCATGTTGCAGTTGATATCTCTAAAATCTCCTTTAGTCTGTAATAATGCTTCCTCCATTTTTTTTCCTGTGCCAGTTAATTGTTGATAAAATTGGGTCATTTGTCCTGTAGAATTTTACACGTTGTATCTTCATGATGTCACTTAGCATGCTTTCCTGTCCCCCTCATGCCTGTAAGCTGGTAGTTAAAGCTAAAGGCTTGATTAGATTTAGGTTCATTTTATTTTTTTATTTTGGCAAGAATTCTTCCTAGGCAATGCTGTATACTTTCTATTTCAACACACAAGGAAACTTATAATGTCTGCCTTTCTACTTATAATAATTTTAAGATTGATCAGTAGGTTCGAGTGATGCCTTTCAACTACAGGTTTTAGCAGTCATTGATAATCATTGCCTAGGTATATTATTATACTATATTGAGTTTACAAAACAGTGATTTTTCTAATTCTATCATTCCTCATGCATTTATTAATTGTGATTCTTCTACAAGAACTTTCCTTTAACAACTATTTGGATATCCTGAAATACAGTCTTTACAGGACATATATGATAATTGCTTCCTTCTCTTTATTTATTAGTTTCTAGAACAAAGAGTGCCTTAGCAATCTTCATGGCTGGTCAATGAGGTTCGTTTGCTTTTTGGAGTATCATTATTCACTCTTGATGTTCAAATGGCCTTATCTGTGACCAATGGGAGTTCCTTCACATTGGTTCTTATGTTCTTTTGACATAACACCAGTAGCCTTTGCCAATTTTCTAGCTAGAAAATATATTAGAATGAAGTAACTGCATCTTGAGTGTATATTGATTTTTTTTTGGGGGGGGGTATAATTGAAATCCAAACACTGCACATATTTAATCTGTACAATTTGATGAGTTTGAGCATACGCATACACTGATCTGATTCAAACTAAAGAGCACAGGGTTTTTACTTATCTTTGTTTGTATATTATTTTCTTGTTCTAAATGTTAATAATCCCATCAACATTATCTATCACAATAAATATTAGCACTATCATCAAGTCCACTCAATAAAGTTTAAGATTTCTTTGTGTTCTCTACCCATCTCCATATCTTACAATATATACTTAAATACTATGCTTGTATTAGTCCACTTTTGCATTGCTATAAAGAAATGCCTGAGACTGGGCAATTTATAAAGAAAACGGGTTTTATTGTTTCACAGTTCTGCAGGCTGTACAGGAAGCATGATGCTGGAATCTACTTGGCTTCTGGGAAGGCCTCATGAAACTTACAATCATGGTGAAAGCAGAAGCAAAAGAGAACTTTTAAATGACCAGGTCTCGTGAGAATTCACTCTCTATCATGAGGTGAGTGCCAAGAGGACTGTACTAAACTATTCATGAGAAATATGCCCTTATGATCCAATCACTTCCCACCAGGCCCCATCTCCAACATTAGGAATTACAATTCAACATGAGATTCGGGTGGGGACATAGATCCAAACTATACCAATGCTTTAAAGTCACCTAATTCTACATACAGTTATGCCAACAACTCAATACATGGTTATTAATGGCTTCACATTTTACGGATTGCTTTTGGTTTCAAAGCCAAAACTATAAAACAAGGTACAAAGAGGTCTAGCTTCCATTCCTCCACCCTGCCTCCTCCCTTTCACAATAGATGACTATTTAAATATGTGTTTTGGAATGCCCCTACCTTTCTCACACAAAATGAAGATATACATGCACATTTGTGTATATTCTTCTGTCACTTAAAAGTGTATTCTGGTGATCACATAAGCAGTAGTTTCCTAATTCCATCTTACAACTGCATAGTACTCCATTGTAAGAGATGAATCATAGTTTATGTAACTAGTCACCCGTTGATTATTACCTTTCATATCTGAACTGCACTTTATAAAACATCAATGTAACCCAAAGTCTGAAGTCACTATTTTTGGAGGTCCCACATGCCACCTAAGAACTTGGCGTTGGATTACTAAACAGATTCAAATTTTAAATACAACAATACGTGAATACTTGCTAGTTATAAAAAACTGGAAAACTAAAACAATTATGTAGAATTAGAAGTCTTTTCATTCTCCTCCTACGAATACTAATCTCTTCCCAACATAACCAGTTACCATTTTAGTATGTAACTTCCCAAAAATTTTCTATGATAGGCATATATATGTAATAAACACAGGGTTTTGATTTTTACACATATATACTTACCATTCTGTGACTTGGTTTTTAAACATGTTGGAGATATATTTCATACAGATGCACCTCACTTTTCGCAGCTGCATAGTATTCTATACTATTAAATGCCTATATTAACAATTCAAGCCAGTCTCCATTTAATGAACATATAGGTTATTTCAAAAATTAAATAAAACCATAAAGCTATAGTGTGGAACCTTGTATTTTGTGCACATGTACAAAACATTCTATAAGCTGGGTTTTTAGAAATGAAAGTGTTTGGCCAAAGGCTATCTGTATTTAAAGTTTTGATAGGTTTTGATTTGCATTTCTGATGCCAAATAAATCATTCTACCAAAAAGACACATGCACTCATATATTCATCAATGTGCTATTCACAATAGCAAAGACCTGGAATTAATCCAGGTGCCCATCAATGGCAGACTGGATAAAGAAAATGTGGTACTTACACACCTTGAAATGCTATGCAGCCATTAAAAAAAAAAAAAAAAAAAAAAAAAGAAGACGAGATCATGGCCTTTGCAGCAATGTGGATGGAGATGGAGGCCATAATCCTAAACAAATACAGGAACAGAAAACCCAAATACAGCATGTTCTCACTTGTAAGTGGGAGCTAAACACTGAGCACATGTAGACATAAACATGGTAATAACACAATGCAGCCTACTAGAGGAGGGAGGGAGGGAGGGAGGGAGGGGGACACACATTGTAAAACTACTTACTGGGGTGCAGCACACCAACATGGCACATATATACATACGTAACTAACCTGCACGTTGTGCACACGTACCCTAAAACTTAAAGTATAATAATAATAAAAAAAAAACTACTTACTGGGTACTATGTTATCTGGGTGATGGGATTCATATCCCAAACCTCAGCATCATGCAATATTCCCATGTAATACTCCTTCATATGTACTGCCTGAAGCTAAAAGTGGCACTGAAAAAATTTGTAAATATTAAAAATAATGCCATTTTAATAATCTGCAAAAAAAAGTTTTGACAGGTTCTGCCAAATTGTCCTTTGAATATGCTGTAACCTACTTATGTACTTTCTTACTCACAATGTATGAGTGTCTTTTCCCCTACATCCTTACCACCCTGGCTATTATCAGTATTTGGGATTCTGCCAACTTGATAAACAAAACATATCTCCTGGGTTTGTCTGCATTTCCTTGATTGTTATGAGACTGGATTTTATTATATAGCTTTAAGATGTTAATTTCCAGAACTTTCAGGATGGTATTGACATATTAAAATGTGATTTCAACACAACCTTGGGCAAACTTATTTTACTTTTAAAAATAAGAGAAAAAATGCTATGTTAATAGTACACATAGAGCAGTAGTTTCTAACATATTTTAGAAATGGAAATGGAAAAATTAAGTGCTAGTATTTCACCTTTTCAAGTTCTGGAGAAAATGCTCGGCTAAGTTGGTACACTCATTCTATTTTTTTCCCCACACATAAAAATCCTGAATAGGACAATTCACTGAGGCTTCTAGATCAGTTACAGTGTCCACCTCTAAAGAATGTTTCTTTTAGGAGTCAACTGTCTCATTGACAGGAGGAAGATTTACACATGCAAGTCCTATTAATAGGAGTTACAAGCACAAATCCCCCTTCAACGATAGACCAAAAAGACCCTACAGTCTACCAGGATCCAGGTTCTAATGATTACCTGTCATATTGTCCTAGGAGTCATCATCACCAGAAAGAGCAGACATGGCAACTTATACCACAAGGGTATCTCATTGCAGCCCCAAAGCTAAATTGTGCATCAATGGAAAGAAAAGTAGCCTTCAAAATGTGACTTGGGATACTAAGTGTTAAACCACTTAACCAGTATTTTTAAACAGCCATCATTAAAGAAAATTCAAACATTTGGAACCATTTTTTTTAAAGTGTGAATATTGTATGAGTTTCAAGGTGCTTGAAGGATAATACAGCTATTTATTTAAAAATTCAATTAATCTTATCTTTCTTAAAATTGATTAATTAATAATCTCACAGATAAGCTGCCAGTTTTGAGAGTCCTGTTATCTTTTTAATGTCTCCTTACTGAGGAACTTTAGAAACTACTTGAAATTGACAAAAAGTGTGAGTCTGCTTTAATTATTTGACTCAATAGCAAATCATAGTTTAGTGTATAATTTCTGCATAAAAAGAACATCAGCAGTCTCTTGTCTCTTGCAAATGAGTTGCTGGGGACTCAAACCCCTTAAAGAAAAACATTTCAGGTTCTCATTTACAAAGCAGATATGAAAAACCTTTCAGATTCTCATCATGTAAGTGAGATGTGAAAACAGTCTGTAGGCAATCAATGTACTGTAAATTCACAGCCCATGCCGCACAGCCTCTACAGCACTGATTCCAAACAGAGAAAGGTATCATCCACCTTTGTTTGATATTGGCACTAATGTTGGCATCTAGAACAGTTTGCAAAGTAGCTCATGCCCCTATATTATTTCATTGCCTTTCTCACAAACTTAGCACAGTTGGCAGATGCCTAAAAACAAAACCAAATATACAGCTTGACAATTAAGTATTTACATACTAGACTAATATTAAAACATAAATCAGGTTAAAGGCAATCTTCAAATTCTTGGCATATATAAAAGATGCAAGTATTACAAAATATGACACCATGACTGAAAAGGATTTAAAAGTCTTTATTTCCTCTGAAAACTTACTGGTAAAGTATACAATTTATGAATAATCATATATTCATGCTTTTTGAAATATATCTGAATAAAAGACAAATTATTCAATATCAATAGCAGTAAATAACTTATTTGCAAGAAAATTATTACAATTCCTACTGTAAAGAATCACCAACCACTATTTAGCAATTAAATTTCAACACATTTTTTTTGGAACTCTTTAGGACTTTAGACAAAGGCTACCAAGGCTGACAATCCAGGTAACTATGGCAGTGACAGAAGTCAATCATTAATACTGCCATTATTTTAGACAAAGGGCTGACAATCTCAGAAACTAGTTCTAGAAATTATCATCAATGTGGCCATTTTACTATGGACAAATAAATATGGGAGATAGGGAACTTGTTACTCCATTTTCCTATAGAAAAATATATAAATTGACCTTTTATATATACACAGGTATGTATACACATACAGTATATGTTTTTCTGAGCAGGCACACCAACTAGGAAAAAATACAATAGCAACATAGGATTAGGTATTGCTTCTCATACTGATCACTAAACTAAATGGTATTATCATTTTCGGTTAATAAGAAGCATGCATAACTAAACAGTTTAAATACTTGAATCAAAATTCTTTAATAGCATTTTCTGAAATTTTAAATTAGCTACTGAAAATTTTCCACTATGTACAATATATTTTATTAATATGATTTCAAGCTTAAGGTTTTATAACAAGACTTTTCTTTTTGATTTAAAACTATAAGAACAAATATTTATTTGCAGTAATTAGGATAGCTAAAATCAAAGCTCTAAGAATAATTTCTGTTACATTTTGAGGCAACAGGAAATATATAAAGTTCTTAAAGTCTTTTATCAGTTGTATGATATTTTAATCATCATGAATCATGTTCAGGAACTTTTAAACATTTCAATCATATTTAATAAATGACCTGAAAGAGAGATTCTGATGCTAATGGATGAAACAGGGTACAATAATGGACCACAAACTATCTCCTCCATTGTTCTACATATAGGTGGCTGCAGTAAGGCCAATAGAATTTTTGTGGTTATTCTAGGCCTACCCTGATTGTCTGTTTACATGAATGTGCATGCTGCATTCAAGCGGCTTTAACTCTAAGACCGTAACAGTACAATATCTTTATTGGCACAATTTACTGCAATTGTATTCAGACTCAATCGTCTCATCTACTGGAACCTTTTATAATATATTGCTGATATCCAGGGGCAAGGCCAATATCCGGTACATTAATAAGTATGTATTAGACATTGAGTGCATATGCCCCAGCTGGGTTTCAGGAAACATGATTTGATATAAGAAAAATCGAATCCCTATGACAAAGTAGGTTATAATGTGATCCTACTGTCCCTGATTTGTGTGACATTATAAAAGGGGAAGTGAGGGAAAGGGGACTAAAGAGATGGGGAGGGGCTGTACACTGGGAGGTAGGGATAGGAGCAGCCTGAGAGGCTAGTAAGTTAAGTTCTTCCATTACTCTGGCTTGAACTATATCTGCAGTGGGTAGAAAGGTGAGGCAAGAGCTATATTCCTTGGTTCTTTCCATTTCCCATGAATCTGTGACCTGCCACAGCTGGCTTCCTTTAAGAACATCTCTGAAACCTGGTGAGGTCAGGGACCAGCTGCAGTTGAAGTATGTAAGAACTATGTACTTTACATTGGAGCCATGGCTTCCTGACAGACAATATAGGCCAGATGTTGTGAGAAAAAAAAACAAATAGTTCATTTGTTTGTTTATTTATAGGCAATTATAAGTCTCAACTATTGCTCAAATAAAGTAGACCATCAGAGCTTGGCCATTTGAGAAAATTTAAATATAGGCAACATCACTGCAGCTTAGTTTGCTGCCTATGTACAGCCCCCTTTTTTTTTTTTTGTGAGACAGAGTCTTGCTCTGTCACCCAGGCTGGAGTGCAGTGGCAAAATCTTGGCTCACTGCAACCTCCGCCTCCCTGGTTCAAGTGAGTCTGCTACCTCATCTTCAAAGTAGCTGGGATTACAGGTGCCCACCATAACACCCAGCTAAAATTTTGTATTTTTAGTAGAGACAGGGTTTCGCCATGTTGGCCAGGCTGGTCTCGAACTCCTGACCTCAAGTGATCTACCCACCTCAGCTTCCCAAAGTGCTGGGATTACAGGCAGCCCTAACGTTTTTATGTAGTGTATATTAGGGCTTACCAACTGTCATACACAATTTGGAGTCCTTGGTGGTTGCAGGTTTACCTACCAGAAAAGGAATAAAACAATTTATAGAGTGTTTTCCTTAGTAATATTTCAAAACCACAATTCTACTTGTTACTATTTTTACTGGTCTGTAAGACTATAAAATACTACTTTAAAAAAGAAATTTTCATTTAAAAAGCTTAATGCAATAAAAACACTGTGATCTATTTTGTTTGGAAGTTGACTGACAGCAAGCAATTATTTCCTGCGTGAGACTTTTGAGATTCATCAAGTCAATGGGAAAATTCTAAAACAATTTTCTTCTGGCAAACCGATTCTAAACATGGCATTGCATTGTCTTCATAACCATTCTCATATAGTAGGCATAGTAATACTATTTCCACTTTATATATGGAGAAACGTAGGCTCAGAAGTTAAACAATTTACCAAATATCATCAGTAGGACAGCCAGGATTAAATTAGGTCTGTAGACAATTAGCCTAATACTCTAGTTACTTGACAGACAGAATATTCAAATACCAATGAGCCTATCCACACCTTTCCTTCCATTCTTTCATTTCTTCATTATTGACCTTTCCCAATATGTAAATAATTTACAAACAAATATCACTACTGATACTAAAAAACACTACTGACTTATTCGTAAAAATGTCTAAACACCTTTATATTAGCATTTTCAATGCTTCTCAACATAGAAAGCAAAACAAACCTGTATTCCAAATACAGGCTTCTATCTAGATCATGATACTTTAGTTTTTCTATATGTTTTTATCATTATGTTATGATGCTCTTGTCCATAAAGAAAATAAAATTCAAATAACCAAAGAAAATACATGAGCTGGTTCTGAAAATGTGGCTTTCAAACAAAGATCCAAAGTGGTAAGCAAAATTGTCCTAAGACCATGGAATTATTAACAATGCATAGGATCACTTTCATATCCACAGTTACATTCCTGAGAATCAATTGATTTATAATTTTCATCTGCTAGTCACACAAGTTTGGTATTTAAAATGAGCAAGTCAATGTGCTTTATAAGTGTTGTGTGTTCTTGGAATGTCCTCTATAAGGAAAATCCCCTTTTGGATTTCTATTACCTATTTTGCCTTATAATTGCTGCTGCTTTCTAACATTTCTCAAACAGTCCTTCTATCAAGTAGACTCTGAGACCAGTCAGAATTTCCAAAGTTGGGTATCCAGTTTGGTGTATATCCATTATTCAGAGGACTCCTCTAGGTTTCCAAGGTTTGTGCTTTCCTTGAAAGTCTCCGAGTTAGCCTCTGGTATGGCACTGGATTCTGAAGCCTCTGGCTGTAAACTGTCTCCATCAAGGATAATGTCTTCAGGATTTGGTGGAGGGGGACAGAAATCTTCATTGGGGCAGATTTCCTGGAAAAGTGTTTCAGCCTGGCCAAGGAAGAAAAGATAAAATCGTTTTTGGAAATCGGTTTAAAATGTGTGTGCATTTCTGGCATTAACTAAAAAAAAATAAGTGTTTTATCCTTAAAAATTTGCTTAAACAGGCTACAGTACTTAATCAGAATACATGAACTTCCGTAAGTCTGTTTTCAGAATTCTATGACTTCTCCCTTTAATTCTATACATGTATTGAGGTCCACTCTTCAAGGATGGCAGTACCTCATCAGGTTCATTATCAAGTGTTCAGATTGTTGAGAACTGAAATACATTCATTCTATATATCAATAGAAATACAATTTCCTTAATATTGTTTATATGATTTCTTATAGAGCCTTGATATGGTTTGGTTCTGAGTCCTCACCCAAATCTCATCTCAAATTGTTATCCCCACGTGTTAGGGGGTGACTAGATTATGGGGGCGGCTGTTCCCATGTTGTTCTTGTGATAGTGAGTTCTCAGAATATCTGATGGTTTAAAAGTATTTAGCAGTTCCCCCTTTTCTCTTTCTCCTGCCACCATGTGAGATGTGCCTTGCTTCCCCTTCACCCTCTGCTATGATTGTAACTTTCCTGAGGCCTCCCCAGCCATGTGGCCTTGTGAGTTAAACCTTTTTTGTTTACAAATTACCTAGTCTCAGGTAGTATCTTTATGGCAGTGTAAGAGGCACTAGCATTGAGAATTGGTACCAGGAGTGGGGTACTGCTAAAAGATAACCTGAAAATGTGGAAGTGACTATGGAATTGGGTAACAGGCAGAGGTTAGAACAGTTTGGAGGGCTCAGAAGAAGAGAGGTAAATGTGGGAAAATTTGGAACTTTCTAGAGACTTGTTGAATGGTTTTGGCCAAAATGCTGATAGTGATATGAACAATGATGTCCAGGCTGAGGTGGCCTCAGATGGAGATGAGGAACTTATTGGGAACTGGAGCAAAGGTGACTCTTGCTATGCTTTAGCAAAGAGACTAGTAGCATTTTCTCCCTGCCCTAGAGATCTGTGAAACTTTGAACTTGAGAAAGATGATTTAGGGTATGTGGCAGAAAAAATTTCTAAGCAGCAAAGCATTCAAGAGGTGACCCAGCTGATTCTGAAAGCACTCAGTCATGTGTGTTCACAAAGAGATGCCTTCACATTGGAACTTATGTTTAAAAGGGAAGCAGAGCATAAAGGTTTGGAAAATTTGCAGTCTGACCATGTGGGAGAAAAGAAAAAACCATTTTCTGGGGAGGAATTCAAGCTGGCTATAGCAATTTGCATGAGCAATGATGAGCCAAATGTCAATAGACAAGACAATGGGGAAAATGTCTCCAGGGCATGTCAGAGATCTTCCCTAGGAGGAAAAATGGTTTAGTGGGCTGGGTGGGCCCCACTGCTCTGTGCAGCCCTGGAACATGGTACCCTACATCCCAGCTGCTCCAGCTCCAGCCATGGCTAAAAGGAATAAAGGTACAGCTTGGGCTGTTGCTTCAGAGGGTGCAAGCCCCGAGCGTTGCCAGCTTCCACGTGATGTTGGGCCTGAGGGTGCACAAAAGACAAGAGGTGAGGTTTGGGAGCTTCTGCATAGATTTCAGAGGATGTTAGGAAACGCCTAGATGGCCAGGCAGAAGTCTGCTGCAGGGGTAGAGCCCTCATGGAGAACCTCTGCTAGGGCAGTGCTGAAGGGAAATGTGGGCTTGGAGCCCCCACAAAGAGTCACCACTAGGGAACTGTTTAGTGGAGCTGTAAGAAGAGGGCCACTGTCCTCTAGACCCCAGAATGGTAGCTCCACTGACAGCCTGCACCATGCACCTGGAAAAGTCACAGGCACTCAATGCCAGCCCATGAAAGCAGGCACAGTGCCTATCCCCTGCAGAGCCACAGGGTTGGAACTGCCCAAGGCTGTGGGAGCCTAGCCCTTGTATCAGCATGGCCTGGATGTGAGACATGGAGTCAAAGGAGATTTTGGAGCTTTAAGATTTAATGACTGCCCGGCTGGGTTTTGGACTTGCATGGGGCCTATGGCCCCTTTGTTTTGTCCAATTTCTCCCATTTGGAATGGGGACATTTACCCAATGCCTATACCCCATCGTATCTTGGAAGTAACTAACTTGCTTTTGATTTTACAGGTTCATAGGCAGAAGGGACTTGACTTGTCTCAGATGAGACTTTGGACGTGGACTTTTGAGTTAATGCTGGAATGAGTTTTAAGACTTTGGAGGGCTGTTGGGAAGGGATGATTGGTTTTGAAATGTGAAAAGGACATGAGATTTGGGAAGGGTCGGGGCAGAATGATATGGTTTGGCTCTATGTCCCTACCCAAATCTCATTTGCAATTGTAATCCACAAGTATTAGGGAGGGACTGGTGGGAGATGAATGGATTATGGGGGCACTTTTCCCCATGCTGTCCTCGTGATAGTGACTTCTCACAAGATCTGATGGTTTAAAAGTGTTTGGCAGTTCCCTCTTTGCTTTCTTTGCTCTCCTGCCGCCATGTAAGACATGCCTTGCTTCCCCTTTGCCTTCCACCCTGATTTTACATTTCCTTAGGCCTCCCCAGCTATGAGGAACTGTCAGTCAATTAAACCTCTTTTGTTTATAAATTACAGTCTCAGGTGGTATCTTTATAGCAGTGTGAGGACAGACTAATACAAGCCCACATGTGATACTGGTATAGTCTAATTTAGCATATAGTAATTTTAACAAGTCACTGTTCAAATGAAGAAAACTCTTCACTGTTTGTTCAACTATTTGCTTTTTGATAGAATTTCCATTCCCTGGACTTTAAGGACTATAGCACTTGTTTAAGCTCATGGGTTTTGAAAAGATAGCCTCAGTAAAAATACTGGCTCTACGATTTAGCAGTTATGTGATTTGGGGAATGCTTTCTCAATTTCCGAGCTTTGGCTTCCTTATCTATAAAATATCAGAGATTAAGCCGACATATATGGTAGCTATTTTCATTATTACTAATAATAACATAAGTAAAAATGTCAAGATTTAAGCTGAACTTATTAGTATGACAGGGTAACAGAATAAAAAACCTTCAAGGGTATGTTCTTGGACATGCCAATTACTATAGACAATTTAAGTTTTTAAATACTTAATTGACAAAAAGTATATATATTTAAGGTGTACAAGGTCACTTGATATACACTGTGTAATGATTACCACAATTAAGTTAACACGTCCATCACCACTAATAGTTACCACTGTGTGTGTGTGTGTGTGTGTGTGTGTGTGTGTGTTTGTAGTAAGAATACTTAAAATCTGCTCTCTTGTCAAATTTGAATTGAAGAATCCTGTCATTTATGACAAGATAAATGAACCTGGAGGACATTATGCTAAGTGAAATAAGCCAAGCACAGAAAGACAAATATCACATGATCTCACTTATATGTAGAATCTAAAAAAGTTGAGGGTGGTTGCCAGGGGCTGGGGAGTGTAGAGCTGTTGGTTTAAGGGTATGAACTTTCAGCTATAAGTTCTGGGGATCTAATGTACAGCATGGTAACTATAGCTAACTGCATTTTTTATTATGGCTATTTGGAAATTAAACATTACAGATGCCTGTCTTTGCTCTCCATCCCGGAGACTCACCATACTCCTTTGCTAGAGACACGCAACCCCTGTAGAAGCAGGACCTAGATCAGACAAAGCCATTACCTCATACTTCCGTTCCCCTAATGGTCTTTTTGTCTTACATCTCTGTTTTTACTATCTGTAAAAGTTCTCCCTCCCTTTTATCTTTGGCATGCAAACAATCATCAAATTCTATCAATTTTATCTTCTATCTCTTAACTTCATCTGTTCCTTCCCCACTGACATAGCCCAGACATGCACCATCTTTCAACTAGACAACTACAATAGCCTCAGAATTGGACTGGTCTCCTTGCCTCTAGAGTTCCCCCATATAATCCATCTCCATGCCATCCTCAGATGGGTCAATGGAAAATAAAATTCTGTTTATTCCATTTTTGGCTTAAAATTCTTCAATGACTCCCCATCACCAATAGGATAAAATCCAAGATTCCTACTATAGAAAATAAAACCCTTCAGGCCTACCTTCTCTGATCTTATCATATACCATTTCATCTAGCCTCCATCTCTCAGACTTCTTGATTTACTAATACCTGTTTATTTGTATGAAACAATACACCATGATATTTATCTTTTACATCCTGGACTGGTACCAATGTTATTCTTCACATCCAGAATGTTTCAATTCTACTGTCTTTGATTTAGATGGAGAATTGCTACTCTTCTGTTATACCCCTCTCCGTAAGGTTCTCTGACTCCTAGATTGGGCTCATTTCTCCTTTCTGTTATTTCTAGACTTTGGATATATTAGTACATACGCCACACTACACTGTCATTTGTTTACATGCTTTTCTCCTTTACCTGACAGTGATTCCTCCAGGATGACAAATACTTTTAGTCAACTCTGGATCCTTAGTGCCTTGGCATAAAATAGAATGTCAGTAACATTTAATACAAATATTAAGTATAAATATAATAATTATTATTACTACTAATTCTTTTACTTCTTCTATGCTAGTTCCTCTGTGTTTGACACCTTGTCTCCCTTTTGCCTCCTCCCCATAGAATAGCTTTTACCCTAAACTCCAGTCTCTGTGGCTGGATCCCACACCACATACTTCCATATATCTTGTCATGCACCACCTGCCTCCTAAGATTAGCACCAGTTGCAGGTTGTCACACCACTCTTTCTTGTGTTCTACCTGCTTATGAAACTCCCACCTATAGCCCATCTGCCCTGGCCCTTGTTGATGCCAATTTCCAATAGCCAGACTCCAGCCCTTCCCAAATCTCTCCTCTCTCTAACTGCTGCAACCTCTTAGGGTCAACTGCCATGCTCTGGAAAGTGTATCTAATGCTTCTTGGTCTGCTGCATTTTGTTTGCCAACTAAACCTAGTTCTAAGCACAGAATAGTTGATTGGCAACTTTTCATCCTCTTCA
The DNA here is from genome assembly GCF_000001405.40 of Homo sapiens. NCBI lineage: Eukaryota > Metazoa > Chordata > Mammalia > Primates > Hominidae > Homo > Homo sapiens. Next base: position 85,869,788 of record NC_000023.11, read on the forward strand.
CCTTTTTTAAGCCAGAAGTTAGATCAAAGGGTAAAAAATTTCAGGTGGTTAAAACATTGGAAAGGGCTAATTATATTGTGACTTGGTGTGCTCACACTGGCAAGTACAGAGAGAACAAAGTGAATTATTTAAAATATTTCTATGTTTAGTTAACATACATCAACACAAACAAAATTAAACATTTCATCAATATAGTACTTTAATGTTTTTAGGATGTATGCCTACTCATAAGCTGAAAGTAGCATATAACACTGGGTGAGTGTACAAGCACTGGGATCCAAAAGAGTTGAGTTTAATTCTTGGCTCAAGAACTTACTAGCTATGGGGCCTCTGGACAAGTTATTCAGCCCCTTCAGGACTTAGCTTCCTTATCTATAAATGGGTATATCACAAATACTTATCTCATAAGATTGTTTTGAGGACCAAATAAGATAATATATATGAGATGCTAAGGATAGAATCTGACACACAGAAAGTGCTCAAATGAATGGCAGCTACAGAAAATATGACATCTAAAATTGCTCGCTCTCTCTCAAAGGCATGAGAAAACAAATGGCACTACCGTATGTGAACAACCTGATAGTTCAATCTATACAGTTAGCTCTCAACTTAATAATGGGCTGTATATCAAACGTCGTAAGTGACTGGCTAATCTGTCCATAAAACAATGCTCTAAATGGTGGTTAAGTTGCCTGCCCAGCCCAACATCAGCCAATTTAACTCATTTTATACTTGAAGTAAAATACAAAGAGTATGGTACTATTTATTCTTATTCCCATGGTAGTGACATCTCCAAGAGGGTGGGGCTCCTGAAGGAGTGAGCTATCAATGTCTTGGGAATGAGGACTATGGAACTGTCCATCAGTACGTTTGGGTAAATGGTACACAACATCTACCAAGAAAAGAGATATATCAGATGTCAGTTTCAGAAAAATAAAAACAAAACTGAAATACAAAAATGAGCAAGTCATAGAAAGAATCACAACTATCACTTAGGTTGGTATTGCGGTGGCAATAGAGAATGTCTTGGAGGCCAGGAGCACACAATTTGAACTTGTGGGTATTAAAGACAGATCACTTTATGTTTTCGGTGCATCTTCAAATCATAAATGGTTCCCTATGAAAACAAGAGTGTCAAGTTTACATTACTCAACCTCTATACATTTTACAAATAAGAAAAGATGTAAACCTGCCAACTGGTAAAATGAAGTATTTCATTTGCTTTTTAAAAATGAAGAAATCGGGCCGGGTGTGGTGGCTCACGCCTGTAATCCCAGCACTTTGGGAGGCCGAGGTGGGTGGATCTTGAGGTCAGGAGATTGAGACCATCCTGGCTAACATGGTGAAACCCCGTCTCTACTAAAAATACAAAAAATTAGCTGGGCGTGGTGGCAAGCGCCTCCCAGGTACCTGGGAGGCTGAGGCAGGAGAATGGCATGAACCCAGGAGGGGGAGCTTGCAGTGAGCCAAGATTGCGCCACTGCACTCCAGCCTGGGTGACAGAGCAAGACTGTCTCAAAAAAAAAAAAAAAAAAGAAGAAATCTGCATGGGCTTGTGTTGTCAACACAAGCAAAGTCTAGGTGATATTCTGAGAGCTTTTATGGATAATCTTCATTTGGAAAATACCAATCACCAGAAATCACCAATTAGTGACTGACATAATTACAGGCTGATACACAGGAATTAGCATGCAGTTTATCTGAATACACAAGCTATTTATAAACATTGTCAATGTTCTTTAAAGTAGACATTATAATATTTCCCCCAAAATTGATGAGATTAAAAGCTATACAACAAATTTAAAACTGCTTACATTTAATAGCATATATTAATTAGTACCAAAATTAGCACTATACTGTTTTCTACTGTATAGCATGTTACCTCTGAAGATTATATTCTTGAGAAGCAAATTACCTCATGATAAAATTATCCCTCAATTATAATCTTCTAGCATGCAGTTTAGATGTTTAGCTTACATTAGTACTTGTATTATAAGCCCTTACTTAAATTTTTTTGGTTAAAAAATATTAAAAGTTCATTCAGGGATAAAAATGACCTAAGCTACCTTGCTAAAAACTTGTTGGCAATTTCTACTTGCAAAAAATTAGAACATCAAGGTAAAAATGACTTGATCATTTCAAGCTATAAATGCAGATCTTCAGCCATCTTGGGTTCTTACTAAACTAACAGAAGGAATGATGGATGAGAGATGTGACTTCCTATTTTTGTTTGGTGTCACTGGCTGAATATGATTATCCAGGATCACCATCAGGCACTGAAGAAAATACACAAGAATTCTAGAAAAAAACTGCAGATGTCTGTATCCTCATGATAGACATAGCTTTGCTACAATGACTCAAAATTAGATTACAGGCTCAACCAGGACATTTGCTACTATAAGATCCTTGCCACTGGCGGGAATGAAAGTTCCATCTGTGGTCTTAGAACAATGTTAAATTACCCAATTATTGACTTAATGGACAGATGTGCCAGTTCTACCCGTGAAAAGTTTAGAAATGTGTCTCAAAAAATATTTTCTGTTTGTTTTCGTCCTGTCCAGGGCAAAGAAGTATATTTATATATACATATCAATATTCAGCTTAATGGAATCATGGCTCACTTTTAGCAGCTTGTATCAAACTGTGCCTCTTCATAGCCCTGACCGGGATGGCTATCACAAACTTCCACCTTACTTTACAATAGACCTCAGCAGCAGTAATGGTAGCTCCTGGGACAGGAATTTGTGTCAAAACATAAATAGAATCAAGTTAACTATGTAAAACTACGCTATAACTTATTTTCTATGATTAAAAAATGCATTAAGACTACTGTAAAATTAATTTTATAAGCCTTAGTAGTTACAACCTTCTTGACTGTTTACCAAGAAAAATAATTTATGTATTTCAAAATAATATAGCAATCGTCCAACTGTTTAAGTTAGAAACAATGTTTCTTTAAAATATTGGCATTATAAATTCTTATGAAATATGTATTTTTAGCATCTTCTATCGTCATTCCCACGATGGAACTCATAAAAAATCTCTGTAACTCAACATTTTATTCAAGAAAGTGAAAATACCTGATCCTGTATTTAAAGTATATTTAAAGTAGCTTTGTAGGTCATAGAAAAAACTTTTAGGGCAAATTACAGAAATGGTACTACTGAGAGATGCTTTTCTAGACTTCTCTCCTCCCAGAGGAAAAAATATTTCCCAACCACACCAACATCTTAATACAAAACTGAGAAACATCAAGAGCCTTACCTGTTTGACTGCATTATCATTTCCTAAACCACAATCTGGGCCAGAGCAGACATAAACGTTGGATGGTAAATCATTATAACAGCTCCTGCTGATGTCTGACGAATCTCTCATATTGAAGTAAAGAGCCCACAGAATTCTTGGCTTTTCTACTTGTTCATTTTCTAAATATAGAAATAAATTTTATTTACATTCTAAAATACAATATGTTTGTCAATTACTACACTGTGTAGCCTATTACCGATTAAGCCATGACTAGACATAGTAGGAAATCAGAGCTTCGTATGTAAACATTTAGTAAATTTGCATCTACACACTCTATTTTGATTAGTAAGTTAATTAGATTTTACTCCAGTCATGCTCCTTTGGACTTCTATTACTTCTTCTCACTAGTATCAAAGGGTTTATGATCACATTCATCCTAAAATTTTCCCTATAGAGAAGATAACATAAATTGATTTCCTTATGTTTCAAATGGACAAACCAACTTGATAAATTATATAGTTATTCAATAGTATATACACATGAAATATCCAGGATAAGCAGGAAGTGGGTTAGTAGGTTACCTAGGGCTGAAGGAAATTGGGGGCAAATGGGAGGTGATCACTAATTGGTATGACGTTTCTTTTGGGGTGATGGAAATGTTCTAAAACTGATGGTGGTGATGTATGGACAATTCTACAAATATGCTAAGAGACAATGAATTGTACACTTCAAATGGGTGAATCATATGGTATATGAATGATATCTCAATAAAGTTATTATTAAAAAAATAGTAAATACAGGATTAAAACTTTGTTGTCCTAACTCACATCCTAATGCTTTGTCTTATTGGATTAAAAAATTAATGACAACCAACAAATATCAAAAATGAAGTCATAACAGTGAATGCCATTTTGAGCACATGTTCTCTCATTTAAGAGCATGTGTCTTTTATGCGTGTTAGGCATTGAGCTAGGAGCTGGGGATATACACATGAAGTAGACTTAGTTCTTACTCTCCTTCCTTGTTTTTGGTTCCCTAATATAGGGCCTAGCACACGACAGATGCTCAGTAAATAATTTCTGAATTGATGTTATTGTATTTTCAGGTATGATCAAAGTACGATGTGCTTATAAAAAGGTCCAACATTACTAATCTCAATGCATAAAGCCTATTTCTTGCTAATTTGATAATCATTTATTTGCCTCTCTTCTTTAAAACTGTTATAATTAAATTTTCTGTTTGAAAACATAAAATACTGCTGTTGATACATTCATTGACTAGAGAGTTTTCTTTAGCCTGAATCTGAACAAAAGTTCAAATTTTGTACAATAATAATGAATGTTTATGAAGATTGCCCAAGACCATGAGGCACCTCATGAATAACAAAGAAAATGCTAAAGGCATAATTATCTCATTAATTACTATTATTTAATTGGTAATCAATGTAGAGAAATCTTCACCTAATAGCAGTATTCAATTAACAAGAAAGCCCTATTTCCCACATCAGGATAAACAGGATTTTATTATATTTAATTTACAGTATCTCCACTATAAGAACACCAAATAAGTTATTTTCCTAGTTCAACCTGAATAATCCATAATTATTAGTGGAATAGGATGAAGAAACTGAGTGGAAGAAGTGATCTCCTAAGGTGCCCCTTTCTGGTGCTAAGATCTACGAGTCATCTAAGATATTGCTAACTTCATGTAGGAACATATTAGGTGGCTAAATCTATTGACAAAATAAAGGAACATAAGGAATTCATATTTTATAGCTAACATCATATGGCTCTTAGTAAACTGATTAATGAGTTTAGTTACACGAATCTTATGGGAAGATACTTAAATGTATCTCCTATGATTTGGGATACCAGACTTGGGGAGCACTGCTAACAAGTGGGCTAAGGTCTGGAAAGTCTTTAATAGTGCCCAGCCCATTTCTAAGCATATACTAGGAGAGCTTATCTTGTATCTCATTAAACATCCAGCTCAAAGGAACACTTCACTTAATAAACGCTGGAGGAAATGAATAATCCAATAGATTTAAACTAATTTCATAGACGTTGCGCCTTTGAAAAGAAACCATGAGGAAGGTGAAAAACTGACATAGGCTGAAGATAAATGCTCTGGATACTAGGGCATTATCAGGCTTTGACCTTAAAACTTTAAAGAGATATATAATTGCTTCATCTTTCTTTGAGGTCAGCTGGAAGGCAAAGAGATAGCTAGAAAAAGAATATGCAGTTGTGAAGTGCAAAACTGTCAAAAAATATTAAAGTTGCTGAGCTTTGGCTAGGAGTGCATCACAAGTTGCCAGGGGTAGAACTGGTTTTCTGCAGTAGCTCATTTCATTCAACTTGATAGTAAGAAGGACTAAAGATGTAACAGGTAATTTAGAATAGGGTCTTGGGCAAATTAAACTGGAGTAAGTGTAGAATAGGGTAGGTAGAAGAAAAGCAACTATAGCACAACAATAACAAGAAAGCAAGAAATGGTGTCTACAGCTGCATGCCATGTTTAGGGATAGAGTAAACTATGTTAGTAATACCAGCAGAGTGGTGGAGACTGTCATAGCCCTGACTGAGTCTGGATACAGCACACACAGAAAGGAATTAAGACATTTGCTTTCACAGCCCAACAATTACTTAACACACTAGCTATGGACTTTAAACTACACCTATAAGGGAAATTTCTGTTTTTTTAGGCAGTGCTGCTCTTTGAGATAGAAAATGAGTGAGACGCTTCACTGACCATATGATTCTATACCTAGAAAATCCTAAAGATGCCATCAAAAGGCTCCTTGAATTGATAAACGACTTCAGTAAAGTTTTAGGACACAAAAATCAGTAGGATTTCTATACACTAATAACAATCAAGCACAGGGCTAAGTCAAGAATGCAATCCTATTTACAATGCCACAACAAATATTTACAAGTCATGTATCTGATAAGGGATTAATATCCAGAATATGTAAAGAACTCCTACAACTCAACAACAACAAAAAATCCAATTAAAAATGTGCAAAGGAAATGAATAGATATTTCTCCAGAGAAGACAGACAGATGGCCAATAAGTTCTTGAAAAGATGTTGAACATCACTAATCGCTGGGGGAGAAGCAAAGCAAGACTACTATGAGATACTACTTCACACGTACTAGGATGGCTATTATATAGATTTTTTTTAAAAGGTGACTAGGCTGACTTTCACTGAGGATTATGAAGCACAGAGAATGTAGAATTCAAAGACAAACAAAAAGAAAATATGCCCAAATAATGTTATTCCTTTGGTACATGTTTTAAACTAAAATATTTACAATGCAGTAAAGCATAAGGTATTATATGAATGTCAAATAATCAAAACATAATACTAAAAGCCATCAATCTGTGAAAATAGGGGCTTCTCCTACAGAGAAGAATGTGCTTTAATGTATTAGAAGTTCATATTGCTCATAAAGTTCCTTCTTCCTCATTTAGGCAGGAAAATGAATTGAGTTCTCTTCTCCAGGTGACTTTGCCTTTTTGACCTGCTATGGCCCAGTGCTCACTTTATCTGGTGATTCATTTTCAATAACTCCAACAGTATTTGTTCTGACATTTTAATTAAAATATGACCACTACCTCATCCTGATGATAAAAAGGCCTATGTGTCAGTGAAAACTAGCTTTTCAGTGCCTCAGTGCACCTGAGGACCCTTCTGAGCACATAGTTCTTATCAAAGAATTCCTCTCAGGTTCTAAACAATACATCATTTCAAAATGGGATCACTTTAACTATTAAGATTAATGTTTAAAAATCTAAAATGGATAGAGGATGCTAAGTAATGAACATGTAATTTCCCCCAGCTTGATTTTTTTTAAAGAAAATTAAATGCATTTAAAAAGTGAAGAGTAATGACATGATTCATATTTAGTGCATTGAGACTACTACACAATGAAATTACAATATAAGAATTATTTAAAATTTCAGAAATAATTAAGAAACTCAGGGTTTCTACACAAAGTATAGTTGTAGTTAAAGCCAAAAGAAAAAACTATGACTCCATATTAGATTTAGGAATATTATCATGTATTTTACCTTAGCAATCAAATTTTTAATAATCTAAACATTTATATGATACTTTCCAATAAAGAAAATATGTAACTTACAAATTAATAAATTAAAACTAAAATAATTTAATTTGTAAATTAACCCCCAAATTAAAGTGAAGTTTTCAAATACTTCATTTGGGTAGCTCCCAAAAAACATAATTGATATTAGCCTCTGAGAACATAACAGGTTCATTATGTTAAGTGAAATAAGCTAGGCACAGAAAGACAAACTTAATGTGTTCTCACTCATTTGTGGGAGCTAAAAATTAAAACAATGTAATTCATGGAGATAGAGTGTACAACGATGGTTATCAGAGGCTAGGATGGGTAATGGAGAAGGAAGAGGGAAAAGTGGGGATGGTTAAAGGGTGCAGAACATAAATAGAATGAATAAGATCTAGCATTTGATAGCACAACAGGGTGAGTACAGTCATTTACAGTGTACTTTAAAAATAACTAAAAGAGTATAACTGGAATGATTGTAACACTGAGAAATGATAAATGCTTAAAGTGATGGGTATCCCATTTACCATGATGTGATTACTCCACATTGTATGCCTGTATCAATATATCTCATGTACCCAATAAATATATACGCCTAGTATGTACCCATAAAATTAAAAAAAAAATTAAAGAACAGAACAGTTTGTCTTCTTATGTAAATAAACCCCCCTCTATGCACTATCTCTGCATTAAGAAAATAAGCAACCCACATAGGAAATGAGCTGCAAGGAAACAGAACAGGTATGAGTAAATAAATGGTTGCATGAACAAAAGTAACATGCAAAGAAAATAAAGATATATAAATCAATGGAAGAAAATGATCAAGATTCAAGTGCACATGCAAATCCTACAATAAAAATCACCTTCACTTCATATAAAAGAAAATGCAAAAGGCTTCTTTTATCATTTACACAGAAAATATGCCATATTTTCTCCATTCACAGCTGCAAGTGCTACCCTATTATGTAGGGGGAAAGTTTTAAAATGTGTTTCCCCCATGAATAAGTAGCATATACACTTTTGGGAGTTAAATATTAAATCACTAGCACACTATGCATTAAAAGACTATTAGAGGCTGGATGCAGTGGCTCACGCCTTTAATTCCAGCACTTTGGGAAGCGGAGGTGGGCGGATCACCTGAGGTCAGGCGTTCCAGACTACCCTGGCCAACATAGGAAAACCCCGTCTCTATTACAAATACAAAAATCAGCTGGGTGTGGTGGCACTCGCCTGTAGTCCCAGCTACTCAGGAGGCTGAGGCAGGAGAATTGCTTGAACGTGGGAGGTGGAGGCTGCAGTGAGCCGAGATCACGCCACTGCACTCCAACCTGGGCGACAGAGTGAGACTCTGTCTCAAAAAAAAAAAAAGACTATTGGATAGGAAAGGATTTCTACATCTGCCAATTAATATTTTAATCTGTTAGTTGAATCTTTTTTCCTTAAAGGAAGATACATTTCTCTGATAAAGGAATATATGCTTTTTGTACAACACTTGTAAAATAAAGAAAATTATAAGGAAAATTGCCCATAATCCCACCAAAATTAACTGATTTTCTAACAATCCTTTTTCTGTGTAACTATACATATAAATGTATATTTTTGTGCTTAATTATGTTTTTTTGGTGTGTGTATGATGTATATACTTCCTTTAACATTGTAGAGTGAACATTTTCCCACATGTTTAGGCAGACACTGTGCTCAAGCATCTTATCAAAACATGTGAATTGTTGTTGAATACATCCCATTTCAGTTCAGGTTGCAGAAACTTTCATGATATATCTAAGAAGATTATGATGGTTACATTACCTTTCCATCATGAGTTATCAATTATTTTTCTTACCTATCTCCATTTCAGTATATGGAACAAACAATTTCTGCACAACTGATTCTAAATCTTCTCTTGCTGTTTTAGAAGATGTGCAAGTCAAATGAACCAAATCTGTTAAAAAAAAAATATTTGAGTTCCTTGTCATCACAAATCTATTTTACTTATACTTAAGGCATTAAGCTGGTATTATGGATAATAGAGAGCTGAGCAAGTCATGGTGGTTACAACATTTGTTAACTAACAGCTAAAGGAAGTACCCAACAAGTACCCAAGAAGTACCAGTTGATGTTAATTTGATAAAACAGAGTAGAAAATCTTAGACAATCATTTATTCACAGAAAAGAGCTTGTTATACTTATGACATTCCTAAAGAATAACTGGGTAAAAAAAGGCTGAAAGTGAGGTATGTATTTACCTAAGAGAACACACTTCATATACTGCAGACAGAAACACCCATTTATACATGTTTTGCTGATAAGTTAACAACAAATTATCTACTAATTACAGGGTTATCTAAAAACCTTTTGGGAGAACACTGCTGACTTAGAATCACACATATACTTGAAAGCACATAAAACGGCATAGGTTAAAACAGTCTATAATATTTTCAGGAATTTCAAATTATTTTCCTTTTGCATTTACAGAGTTATGGGGCCTGAATCTTGGAGAATGTTTATGTTAGAGAAAATCACGTACAAACAAGGCCCTTCATGGAAGTAAAATATTGTAGCCTAACTCCGTTAAAACTCCTAAAGGCCTGTGCACAAAGGTGAAGAAAGAATAAAGAGTTCTGTGTTTTGCAATAAAGGAGTAAAGGGACCTCCAAATGACAGAAGTTCTTATGGTCCTGTTATTTGGGATGAGATACAATAATGGCAGAAAGAATATATTAGAGAACAGTAAGTACCAGTACCGAGAAATTCCTCCCCCCACTATATTAGTAGGGGGAGAAAGATACACCCACTTCTCTTCCAATAGTTTATTTCAGACTACTAGAATTTTTTTTTTAAACTCCAGGAAGATAGTTCAAATTTTATCATGAAAGCCAACATCAGAATAAGATTCTCATTATCAAAATTTATTCTACATTCAACTACTTTAAAATATATCTAAGCATAAATTGAGGGACTCTAATAACCATGGAACTAAAATCAAATGTTGTAGGTTTTTCCCTCCCAGGTCCACTAAAGGAAGTATATTTTCGGATGGTTCCTGAATTACTTATGGCCTAATAATAGGTCTACCTTATTTAAGCATTGTTTTCACATGAATTTAACAATGATTCTCATTGGTTCTGGGATACTGTAGGATGTATGGTACTAATTATTTCCAAAGATATAATGAGCTTCATAACAAAAATTATTTTGGTTAACTTTTTTCAAATGCTGTATAGCATTAGTTGGGATGAGACTTAATCCTCCTAGATAATTACTGAAGTAAACAGGGTATGCAGTTACAAAGGTCAGCAATCCATAGGAGATAATCTATCCTGTCTCTTATTTCAAAATCTCGTGAAATACCAATGCCCAAAGTTCTCAATTTTCCAGTTTTTTGCTTGTTTGTTAATGTTTATTTGGGAAAAAGCAGATGAACCTGGACATAAATAAGTATATTTTGGAAAATATCTTAATGGGTAAACTATTGGTTCTGTTAAACAGGACATATATTTTAAAGAGATACACTTAAGTTAGTATATCATTATATTTCTTAGCAACATAACAGACAGTTCAGGTTATGCTAGGAAAAATGTCTAGTAGTGAAGTAAGATTATCATCTCATGATTAATGAGTTTTATAACAATTCTTACAAAGACATTCATAAGCTGAATTATAATCCCTATACATTGACTTTGCTTAGAGGCTACATTGTTAATTGATCTATTAATACAAATTTAAGGTATGAATAACTACTTTTTCCCCTTACCGTTCCTGCTTTTCCTGTTACCTAGGTCACCTTCTAGTATAGATTACTGAATTCATTTTGGTTCTCTTCAAATCAGAGATTGCTGATTGTGCTCTTTTTAAAATTCATTGATTCTCAACATTTGTTTATTAATCTTAATATATCTTGTAAGTCCTTTGCAGGGGCAAGCTTTAGAGTCGATTTTTCTCCTTTTTGTTAAATACAACTTTTACTTAGAGTGGGTATTCAATAAATGTTAATTATAATTTGTCTCACTGTCACGGACAAACATCAAGTATTCCTGTGTTTAAATAGATATGCATTCCCATACCAATAGATCTATGTGTACATATTCATGGGGAAATTCTGATTAGTTTCTTGTATAAAATTTGGGAAATTATCTGATTTACCAGGAAAGAGGAAAGGGAAGTACCAATTGATAATCTCAAATTATTTAAATCTGTCTGAGAAATGCTTATAAACACATTAAGATATATCTATAAAATTCTCAAAATACATTTAAGAGAATATCTAGAGTTGACTGTACAAATAACATGCATGTGTTAGACACTATTTTAAGCATGCTACAAGTATCATTTCACTTTACTTGTGCAACAGCAAACTGTTATTCTCATTTTACAGATGAGAAAACAGGGATGGGGGGCTATGCAGATTTCCTAAAGTCATGCAATTAGTAGAAGGAAGGGCTGGGACTCAGAGCTCGAATTGAAGCCCATATGGCCTGCCTGCAGAGTGTCTGCCTTTAGTCACTAAATTATATTATGTGATTCTAATAATCTCCTGCAGAAGGCACAGTCAGTCACTTAAGTCAGCAGCATTCAAACTGGGATGTGTGTGAGGATACAAGAGGACTTTTCACAAGTTATATCACCTACAAGGGGGTTCTCATACAGATGCTCAGCTCCACCTCTCCTACTTCATTCAGTGAAATTTTACTTATTCTGTTTAATATTTATTTACCAAAACTGTAATATATTTATGACAGTTAGATTAATTCTGTAGAAATAATAATTGCATTAATTACTAAATCCAGAAGAAAGTTTTAGATTAGAAGCTTATTGCCCTAGAAAGTTTCAAAAAAATTCTATTTCCATTTATTTTTTTAAATGGGTGATGGGTATCAAATATCCCTGATACTTAGATTCCACTGAATACATTTAAATGACTGATGTTATAATTTTACTATAAGTCAATATTTACGATGTTAGAAATTATATTCTTTGCAATTATTTGACTCTTCTGATGAAAAACTGTGTATGTCAACTTGTAAAGGGTTCAAGGGATAAATGAGCAAAAAGTCTGAAGACCTTAAGGGTATAAGGTAAACTCAAAACCAAACATGTAGAACATGCTATCACATTTCTACTGAAATTCAATTATGTAAAATACTTCTTTGCATCTATGTGACTTTAATTCTTCTCCAAATAATGAACTTGCTCAATACAGGCCAACAACGACCACAAATTAGATCATACAGGGTAAATGCTTTCCTAAAAGTATTACGTTTCATTAGTACCAATTGACAACTATCACTAAGATTGTGGAAGATGCAATACAAGTGGAAACATTTCCCACAGGCACCATGTGAGATAACTGAACAAAAAAAAAATTAATATCTTTTTATAAACTATGCTCCTTTGACTTCATTTAGCAACTGCTTAAAGGCTTAATGAGCTAAAAATGGCCAAAGACTTAATGAAAAAATGTGTTTTCTATCACAATCCCTCTTTTGGCAATACACTTAGATTTGTATTGGCATTAAAGAAATCTTAGTGCAAAATAAGTTTTAATTTAGAAGTGAGAAGTAACAACACAAAACTAGAAATAACAACACACTTTCAGTTCTCCAAAACTGCCTTTGGAATGCTGATCGCTCTTACGAGTTGTTTTGAAACACATGAGAAGTAGGATTTCTGCTCAGAATGTGCACAATAATGAGCACATTTAAAAGTAACAAGTCCAATGTACAGTAGCAGAGTGACATACTATAGGATGATTACGTGGGTCTGGTATTACGTCAGCTCTCTATATCTACTTGGCCAAGTCAGTTTTTCTCTCTGGCTTCAGTGTCCTCATAATTAAAATGAAGGGGTGCAATTAGTCCATCTTTAAGACCTCTTCCGGTCTCAAATTTACGAAGCTAATTCCTTACTCACCAGCTACAATTCTTTCAATGATGACAGATTTTAAATCAAAACGGATGGCATTACAAATGTGAATGTAAAACCTAAGTAAATGCTTGCTGTAAAAGGTAGGAAATCTATTCCTCAAGCTTCTGAGGTTACCACATACAGCAGTCATTCACTCTATACAAGCAGGCAAAATTGTTCCAAATGCATTTAAAGAATCTTTATTTATAGGCTAGTCAGCAAGTAGGCTTTGTTGTGTAACCTAACTAGAAATATGTAATTAATTTACATAGAGATCAATGTGGCTGGTAACATATCTTTCATATAACTATAAAGGCCACATGTACTTTATGTAATATAGCACAAATGAGGATATGACTGTATCAATAAAACAGAGAACCTCAGAGACACACTTTCTCTATGGTAGCAAGTAAGGAACTGAGTTTGATGATATATGACACACAATTTAATTTTTTAATTCAACTATGAAAAAGTCTATAGTCGGCTTATACTTTCTCAGTAGAATTTAAGAACTCCAGAACATCACCTTAAGATCAGGAAGAAAAATTAGTTTACATATAATAAAATCAAATCTTTGTTTTGTGATAATACTAACAATAATAATTTGAAATGTCACATTTTCAAAAAGCAAATGAAAAAGGCACTGATAATTGTTTTAAATCAATATCTAACTCATTTTTATAAAAGGTATATAGCATTTTAAAACTAGGGTCACAAAAGCAGAAAAAGTATATAAACCAGTACCTACATGAAATTCTGGATTATTACATACATCATATATATATTTCACATTATATATTCACAAATATATAATCATATCACAGATAACTAACATCCTGTAACATCAAATCCCAGAATAAAACAGCTGTTATTGCCTGATTAGTATGTACGAAAAAAATTCAAAATGTCTAGTGTATGAGTAAGTACTGCAAAGAACATGAAAATGAATGTCGAATGGAAGGGCTGCAAAGATAATGTTTTGTTCATTTACAAATGACTTTAAAAGAAAGTAAATCTCATATTAAATTCACTTAGGATATAAGATGAATAGAAATAAATATATTGGGTATGTCCTGAAAGATGAACTCTGTGAAAAAAAATATGGCTTGTTTAGCTTTGAAAAACACAATAAACAAATACATTTCAGTTATTTAACAATCCCAGTAACTTGAACCAAATTAGCTGAGGGGAGGAAAATTTAAGTGGACTTATAGATTTTACAAAACATAACTTTACTACTTTAAAAAAAGATGCAATAACGATGCTAACCCAAAGTTGCTTAGAAAAACCCCTGCATTACTGGATAATCATGATTTCCTATCAGTCTATCAAAATATCAGCTTAAGTAACATTGATACTAATAACGGTCCTGAGGCAGATAGTATCATTATTCCTATTTCACAGATAGGAAAGCTGAGGCACATAGAAATTAAGTAACTTGCCTAAGGTTAGTCAAGTAGTTAGTAAAAACTGGGATTTGAACTTAGCCTATGTTCTCCACCACTATAAGGTAGTATGTTAATGAAATGTACCTCCCTTGTTTATTGAACTATTTATTTGCCTTTCAAGAACCTTTCATATATACTATTCCCATATGATGTGAAGGTAAACTTCAGTGGCATACGTATGATTTTACAAATTCTAAATCAAACCAAATTTAAGGCAATGTGACATCTATGAAAAGTCATTAAAGAGAATAAAAAGTATAAGTGAACTCTGAGGTAGTTTTATGTCTTAAGCACATTCTTGAGCACACACTTAAGACTACATACAGTACAGTATTTGCATAGCACAGGATTAAAAATAAAAAGTGTAAAAAGTGTGATTTGTATAAAGAAAAAAGTGGTTGAGAAGTTGAAAACACTGAGAATTATACATTTTATCTTATTACATGACATCTAAAACATTAAGATTTAATGTTTTATATATTATACGCCACTGTGACACAGTAATTAAATAATATTTAATATAAAGTGCCACAATATTAGTCAAACCTGATTAGTCAACACTAAAAATTCACAAATTTCTACCCCATGCTCAATGGGAAGTAAAAGCTTGTGCTGATTTAAGAATGGACGAATTTGAGTAGTAGATACTGAAGAGAAGTAAAGATAAAATGAGTATCAGAATTAGTTAACAAGTGAATACTTAATATGTACTTAAAGACAACAACATAAAACCTTCACTAGTTAAGAGTAGAGTACCCGTGACAAATTTAAACTTCCTCATCTGCTTGGATTTATCTATGTGGGGAAAATACCTTTAAAATCAGTAATATTTTTCAAAGAAAAATACATCTTCACATATAGATTGTTATGGCTAATGAATAATGGACAAACTAGATTAGACATAAATGAAATCCAGTGTTTAAAACTACAAAAAGGCTTAAATTTTTACTGAAGAATTCCCATAATTTCTCTAAAAGCCATAATTTTGTAATAAGTATGTCCAAGTTAATTTGCTCATGAATAATATATCTTTAAAACACATTCTTTGTTAAACAATTGAACTCTAATTAAATCACCAAAGTTTACATCATTTACTTTCTATAAAATTCATTTTATAAACTTTGAGGTATGCGTACAAGTCACAAAGTCTCATTGGTCTATATTTTGATTATATTTGATTTATTCAAGTATAACTAAATCAGTTACAGTACTTGCCAATATTTGTCAAATGATTCTTCCAACAGGAAGAACAATAAGTTTATTTCATGATTTCATTATTACAGCATCAAGTTTTAGGGCAAGGGAAGGCACTTGGTTCCACTCATTTAGCAATACTGATTACATGTCTGTCACTTATACAATGGAACCAAAGTTTAAATGTATAGATGTGTTTGTCCACTTATTTTAAGTAGTTGTTTGAAGGGAAAATAAGTCACAACAAAATCCATTTAGAGTTAATGATTTTTTAAAAATATAAAATTTACATTTAAAATTTATTCTTCTTAAACACGATTTTATTGTTTGATTTCTACAAAACCATGATCAAATGGATGATCACAAACATTTCAACATCATAATTACTACAAATATGAGAATTCCACCACATAGCTAATGTAGACATATATAAATAACAACATTCAGATAGAATGGTAAAAAGCCTTCCACCAAGAATTCTATTTGAAACAAATTGTTCTGAATATACATTTCTTTCCAATTATGAGTAATGTCAAATTCCACACATCCTTCCCCCCAAAAGTGGGATGTTATGGCATAATAAGCATATTTAGCATTTTCAGTTTTTGGTGCTTGACCAGGAAAATAATGAAATTATGTTTCTACATTATTCTGTAAAGAAACAATTATGTGAATTTTAAAACATGTTCTATTGTGCTCAGGATATGCTTTATTCAAAAGGTATAGGAAAGTCAAAACCCTTAAAAGAGATTTGGAAGTAAAAGTAGTTAGGAAAGAGAATGACTGTGTAACATTCTAAACTATATAATTTGCCCATAATTGGGGAGCTTAAAAAGAGAAAAATAAATGAGTTACGAACAGGTTTGGATACATAAAATAAACACAGGGTATATTTGCTTCTTTTTCTTTTTTCTGACTTGAAACAGAAAGAAATCAATAGAAAAGAAAAAGGTGGTTTAAAGCCTTCTATGAGATTATAAGGCTAGTTGTTTCAGAAGACAGACTGAGAACAGAACAACTTGCAACTATTTGTGACGTCAGTGACTCTCAATTAGGGCAGCAGCAAGAAAATATATCATTAAAGTCTTTTAATGTCCAAGTTACAAATTGCTCCTGAATGTCTATGAACAGGCCAAAAGCATTGAAAAAGGAGGAGAAAAAAAGAATTTAAGCTTTAATAAGAACAAGTGAATGATAAAAATATCAGTTTTATCTCAGTGTATTTCTTAAGTCTTGTTATATATTACACATTAACTCTATTATAGCACTACTACAGTAATGAATGTTATTTTAAAAAGAATGCATACTAGATTTTTAAATGAACATTAACTTCTCTTTTTATTGAGAACAAGGCATAGTATAAATAATAAATTGAAACTTAACTTTCTCAGTCAACCTTCCTGGTGTAAGCCTTACTATTAAGACTAAAAAACCCAAACCCAGTCCATTTGTCTAGTTTTGTACTGATAAACTGATTAAACTATGGTGATATGGTTTGGCTGTGTCCCCACTCAAATCTCATCTTGAATTCTCACATGTTGTGGGATGGACCCAGCGGGAGGTAACTGAATAATGGTGACAGGTCTTTCCCATGCTGTTCTTGTGACAGTGAATAAGTCTCATGAGATCTGATGGTTTTACAAGAGGGAGTTTCCCTGCACAAGCTCTCTCTCTTTGCCTGCTGCCATCCATGTAACACATGACTTGCTCCTTGATTCCCACCATGACTGTGAGGCTTCCCCAGCCACGTGGAACTGTAAGTCCATTATAAACCTCTTTCTTTGGTAAATTGCCCGGTTTCTGGTATGTCTTTATCAGCAGCATGAAAATGAACTAATACAGTAAATTGGTACCATTAGAGTGGGGCGCTGCTGAAAATATACCTGAAAACGTGGAAGCGACTTTGGAACTGGGTAACAGGGAGGGGTTGGAACAGTTTGGTGGGTTCAGAAGAAGACAGGAAAATGTGGGAAAGTTTGGAACTCCATAGATAGTTGTTTAATGGCTTTGACCAAAATGTTGATAATGATATGGACAATGAAATCCAGGCTGAGGTGGTCTCAGACGGAGATGAGGAACTTGTTGGGAACTGGAGTAAAGGTGACTCTTGTTATGTTTTAGCAAAGAGACTGGCAGCATTTTGCCCCTGCCCTACAGATCCGTGGAACTCTGAACTTAAGGGAGATGATTTACGGTATCTGGTGGAAGAAATTTCTAAGCAGCAAAGCATTCAAGAGGTGACTTGGGTGCTGTTAAAGGCATCCGGTTTTGAAAGGGAAACAGTGCATAAAAGTTTGGAAAATTTGCAGCCTGACAATGAGATTGAAAAGAAAAACCTATTTCCTGAGGAGAAATTCAAGCTGGTTGTAGAAATTTGTACATGTAATGAGGAGCCAAATGTTAATCACCAAGACAATGGTGAAAATGTCTCTAGGCCATGTCAAGAGACCTTTGCAGCAGCCCCTCCCATCACATGCCTGGAGGCCTAAGAGGAAAAAATGGCTTCATGGGCCAGGCCAGGGCCCCCTGCTGTGTGAAGCCTAAGGATGTGGTGCCCTGCATCCCAGCTGCTCTAGCCATGGCTAAAAGGGGCCAAGGTACAGCTCATAACTCATAACGTTATGAGTTATTAAATGCAAGTTTAAACACAATATTTCAATTTTCAAATTGGCAAAAGAGTTTTGATAAGATAATATTCAGTGCTCTTGAGGCTTTGAAGAAAACAGACATGCTTGTTTATAAACTGCCATTGGATGTGTAAGTCGATATAACTTTGGGGGCACTTTGAGACTTCCACATCCAGAAAGAATAAAAGAGGTTATCCCGGTTTTTCCTGAGTACAGCTAAAAATCTTAGACATAATATATAAAACCAACATAGCAAGACTCTGAAAGCTGGAACGAAGAAAGCAGACTGGCTAGAGAACTTGGGACCAAAGAGCAAAATGGCAGAGTCCCCTGGGTTTTCTTTTTGTATCATATATCTCCAAGTAAGAGCCATAGAAACTGACAACTGGAAACACCAATGGTCTCAGATTTTAAAAACCCCAACAAAAACCTACACGCTCTAGCAAAAGACCATATCTTAGCAAGATAGAAAACTTTGAGACAATAATTGCTCTACTTCTACCAAGCATCACTGAAAAAATTGAGGTCTCACTTCAGTTTAAATGGCATAACCAAAATCACTGAAAATGCTATCACAGACATGCAAAACCATTTTTGTACTACATTTATTTAAAAACATATTATAAAACAGTATATAAAACAATATTGCATTTTATGAAAATGTATGTGCATGCCCATACAAAGAAAAAAGGACAAAGAATCATACACCAAGGGTATTTATCATTATTTGGTAGAGGGATTATAGTAACTTTTCTTTTTCATATCTTCCAAATTATCAACAGTGAACATGAATTATTAGACTGGGGATATTAAAATATGACAAATGGAAAAATAATTTACAAAACAATTTATGAAGACTATTTACAATTTATGACCAAGTCCTCAAAAGCAATTGCAACAAAAACAAAAATTGACAAATGGGACTTCATTAAACTAAAGAGCATGTACCCAGCAAAAGAAATTATCAACAGAGTGAACAAACAAACTATAGAATGGGAGAGAATATTCACAAACTATGCATCCAAAAAACAACTAATATCCAAAATCTATAAAAAACTTAAACCAACAAGAATAAAACCATCCCATTAAAAAGCAGGCAAAGATTTGAACAGATGCTTCTCAAAAGAAGATACATAAGTAGCCAACAAACATATGAAAAAATGCTGAACATCACTAATCAGAGAAATGCAAATCAAACCACAAAGAGACACCATCTCACCCCAGTCAGAACGGCTATTATTAAAAATGCAAAAAATAACAGATGCTGTCCAGGCTGCAGAGAAAAGGGAATGCTTATACACTGTTGGCAGGAATGTGAATTAGTTCAGCCACTGTGGAAAGCAGTTTGGAGATTTCTCTAAAAACTTAGAACAGAGCTACCATTCAACCAAGCAATCCCATTACTGGGTATATATCCAAAAGAAAAGAAATCATTGTACAAAGAAAAAAAAATGCACTCCCATGTTCATCACAGCACTACTCATGATAGCAAAGACATGGAACCTAGGTGCCAATCAACGGTGGACTGGATTAAAAAAATGTGGTACATATACAGCATGGGATACTATGCAGCCATAAAATCAAAGAAAATCATGTCATTTGCAGCAACATGGATGCAGCTGGAGGCCATTATCCTAAGTGAATTAACACAGAAATAGAAATCCAAATATTACATGAACTCACAAGTAGGAGCTAAATCTGGCATACACAAGGAGATACAGATGGGAACAATAGACACTGGAGACTCTAAAAGGAGGGAGGAAGGGAGGAAATGGCTGAAAAACTTCCTATGGGGTACTATGTTCACTATCTGAGTGACAGGATAAATAGAAGACCAAACCTCAGCATCATGCGATATACCCTTGTAATGAACCTGTGCATATACTCCGTGAATCTAAACTAAAAATGGAAATTTGAAAAATAATATTCACAAACATAAAATACAAATTACAAAAACCATAATAGGTGCAGTTTTATTTTATATCTAAGAAGCTAACACAGATAAAAAGACATGAAAAATAGTTAAAGTAATAATAGAAAATAACAACAACTGTCATGGTGAAGATTTTCCTGTAGCACAAATCACTATATGATATGGTTTGGCTGTGTCCACAGCCAAATCTCAACTTGAATTGTATCTCCCAGAATTCCCATGTGTTGTGGGAAGGACCCAGTGGGAGGTAATTGAATCACAGGGGCTGGTCTTTCCCACGCTATTCTCGTGATAGTGAATAAGTCTCAAGAGATCTGATGGGTTTATTAGGGGTTTCTGCTTTTGCTTCTTCCTGATTTTTCTCCTTCTGCTGCCACGTAAGAAGTGCCTTTTGCCTCCTGCCATGATTCTGAAGCATCCTCAGCCTATGGAACTGTAAGTCCAATTAAATCTCTTTTTCTTTCCAGTTTCGGGTATGTCTTTATCAGCAGCATGAAAACAGACGAATACAGTAAATCAGTCCCCGTAGAGTGAGGCATTGTTGAAAAGATACCCGAAAATGTGAAAGCGACTTTGGAATTGGTTAACAGGCAGAGGGTTGGAACAATTTGGAGGGCTCAGAAGAAGACAGGAAAATGTGGGAAAGTTTGGAACCTCCTGGAGACCTGTTGAATGGCATTGACAAAAATGCTGATAGTGATATGAACAGTAAGGTCCAGGCTGAGGTGGTCTCAGATGGAGCTGAGGAACTTGTTGGGAACTCGAGTAAAGGTGACTCTTGTTATGTTTTAGCAAAGAGACTGGCAGCACTTTGGCCCTGCCCTAGAGATTTGTGGAACTTTGAACTTGAGAGAGATTATTTAAGGTATCTGGTGGAAGAAATTTCTAAACAGCAAAGCATTCAAAAGGTGACTTGGGTGCTGTTAAAAGCATTCCATTTTAAAAGGGAAACAGAGCATAAAAGTTCAGAAAATTTGCAGCTTGACGATGCAGTAGAAAACACATTTTTTGAGGAGAAATTCAAGCCTGTTGCAGAAATTTGCATAAGTAGCAAGGAACCTAATGTTAATCCCCAAGCCCATGAGGAAAATGTCTCCAGGCCACGTCAGAGACCTTCACTGCAGCCTCTCTCACCATAGGCCTAGAGGCCCAGGAGGAAAAAGTGGTTTCATGGGCCAGTCCCCCCATATTGTGTGCAGCCTAGGGACTTGGTGCCCTGTGTCCCAGCCACTCCAGCAGTGGCTGAAAGGGCCCAACATAGAGCTCAGGCTGTGGCTTCAGAGGTGCAAGCCCCAAGCCTTGGCAGCTTCCATGTGGTGTTGACCCTGTGAGTGCATAGAAGTTAAGAATTGGGGTTTGGGAACCTCTACCTAGATTTCAGAAGAAGTATGGAAATGCCTGGATGCCCAGGCAAAAGACTGCTGCAGGGGTGGGGCCCCCATGGAGAACCTCTGCTAGGGCACTGTGGAAGGGAAATGTGGGGTTGGAGGCCCCATACAGAGCCCCTATTCTGGCACTGCCTAGTGGAGCTGTGAGAAGAGGGCCACCGTCCTCCAGACCCCAGAATGATGACAGATCCACCAACAGGTTGCGCCAGGAAAAGCTGCAGACACTCAACACCAGCCTGTGAAAGCAGCCGGGAGGCAGGATATACCCTGCAAAGCCACAAGAGTGGAGCTGCCCAAGACCATGGGAACCCACCTCTTGTATCAGTGTGACCTGGATGTGAGACCTGGAGTCAAAGGAGATCATTTTGGAGCTTTAAAATTTGACTGCCCCGCTGGAATTTGGACTTGCATGGGGCCTGTAAACCCTTTGTTTTGGCCAATTTCTCCTATTTGGAATGGCTGTATTTATCCAATACCTGGACCCCCATTGTATCTAGGAAGTTAACTAACTTGCTTTTGATTTTACAGGCTCATAGACAGATGGGACTTGCCTTGTGTCAGATGAGACTTTGGACTGTGGACTTTTGGGTTAATGCTGAAATAAGACTTTGGGGGACTGTTGGGAAGGCATGATTGCTTTTGAAATGTGAGGACATGAGATTTGGAGGGGCCAGGGGCAGAATGATATGGTTTGGCTGTGTCCCCACTGAAATCTCAACTTGAATTGTATCTCCCAGAATTCCCATGTGTTGTGGGAGGGACCCAGGGGGAGGTAACTGAATCATGGGGGCCGGTCTTTCTTGTGCTATTCTCATGATAGTGTGTAAGTCTTACAAGATCTGATGGGTTTATCAGGGGTTTCCGCTTTTGCTTCTTCCTCATTTTTTTCTTGCCACCGCCATGTTAAGAAGTGCCTTTTGCCTCCTGCCATGATTCTGAGACCTCCCTAGCCATGTGGAACTGTGATTCCAATTAAACCTCTTTTCCTTCTCAATTTCGGGTAGGTTTTTACTAACAGCATGAAAAGGGACTAATACACTATAAAAGGAGAAATGGTCCTCTGAGCTACTTTTCCAAAGGAAATTTAGGATTATAGCAATGTTGAAAAGTTTTCTTAACCCTCTCTGCTGGCATCAGACTTCCCACTTTTCTGCCTGACCACATGTTCCCATTTTTAAGTAGTAGCTCTACATTTCCCCACTGAAGTTTTCCTTGTGACTACGCAAAACCATATTAGTTTTTTTGCTTCTCAGAACTCACATAACAATCTGAGTAACACTTACGTTTACTCAAATATTTTTTTACAAAAAATTTTTTTCTAGTTAATGATATTATGTCTCCCTCCTATGAATCCCTAGAGTACACTGTTTGTTGGTACCTCTCATATTTTGCATCTTCCAGCTACTTCTGTGCTTGTTTTATCTGTTCAACTAGACTGTGAATCTCCTATGGTAAGGGAATATCTTATTCATCTTTACGTACCATGAAATGCCTAGCACAATATGTTGTACTTGGTTAATAAATAGTCTTGTTCCATTAGGTGAGCAGTAAGATTATGAGCATTTCAAATCAGGTATCTCACCTTCTGCTTCTAATACTTATAGTACATAGCTTAGGTCTAGACACAGTGATGTATAATGTATACTTATTGACTCCTATTTACTGAAATAGCCTCAAGAAATATGTTGTAGAATGCATGATATCTAATGCTGGAAACAAAAAATTTGAAACAAATAAGTGAAAGAGCAGGTAAAGTAGTCCTTAACTTTAGTCTCATAAATAAACAAAATACATTGAAAATTTATACATGAAAAAAGTTCAGTAATTGGATTTAGAATTTAGAATTCAAGGTGCTATGGTTTCAATGTTTGTGTCTCCCCACAATTCATTTGTTGACATATGCAATACAAAAGTATTACCTCTTAATACCTCAAGTAGACCCACAATGCAAAAGTTATTAAGAGGTAGGGGCTTTGGAAGATGGTTAGATAACAAGAGCTCTGCCCTCATAAATGGGATTAGTGCTCTTAAAAAAGGGTTCAAGGAAGCTTTTTTATCCCCTTGCCTGTATGAGGACACACAGAAGGTGCCACTTATGAGGAAAGGGTCCTCATCAGACACTGAATCTGCTGGCACCTTGATTTTGGACTTTCCAGCCTCTAGAATTGTGAGCAATAAATTTCTATTGTTTATTATAAGTTACCCAGTCTAAGGTATTTTTTCATAGCAGCCCAAATGGACTAAGAAAGTAAAGAAAAAAAATTAACAATAAAAAAAATGTTATGCAACCAGGTTTTCAATAAGCTAAATAAAAATTAGAATTGAAAGTCATAAAATTCCTTAACTGGAGAACTAAAACATCATGCTTGTGAAGATTTAGCCACTGAAATGTTTATAGGTAAGGGGATGGTGTGAAATGACTTACTCTATAACCATCTTTTATATAAACAAAAACTGTGAATAATAAAAAAGTAAGAAAATCTCTACAAATACAACCTTCACAACTGTAATAACTGCCCCCTTTACCCCCTAAACAAACACAAAATACAAATAACCACTCTACTATGCTTACAGGTGCCTTTCATGCATGTCATCGTTGAAGAACATAACTCAATGACCCGAACAGCAAAAGTTCCTGGTTCCTCTGCTGGCACTGTCAAAATGGAAATCTAAAAAGCAAAAATAAAGTATCAGACACAGCTGTTAGATCTCATTTTCATTCTTCTAACATTAAAATGCTGTTAACTTCTAAACTGAGTATCTTTTTCAAACATCATGTCTGAAAAAAATATGGCTTGTAAGGATTTAATTTTGGAACAGAATTTGAAACATATTTATGTATCATTTTCATAATTCTCATAGATAATAACTTTTAAATATCTTTAATATTTATTAAATCCTTACTTACTATAGGTTTCTTACTATAAACTTACTACAGGTTGAGTAACCATTATCTAAATTCCAAAATACTCCAAAATCCAAAATTTAGCACCGACATGATGCTCTAAGGAAATGCTCATTGGAGCATGTTAGATTTTAGATATTCAGATTAGGGACATTCAACTAGTACACTCCAAAATCTGAAAAAATCTGAAATCCCAAACACCTCTGGTTTCAAGCATTTCAGATAAGGGATACTCAATCTGTATTTTTCAAAGGATACAATTATGACTTCTTAGTTCTGAAATATGTGTATTTTGCTGTTTGAAATCAGACCATATTAAATCAATCTTGATTACTCATAATGGCTAAAAACAGCAGTTAGCATTAATAATTAAAGATGTTACCCATTCCAATTATATTGAAGCAAGCAGTCAAACTATATATATATCAAAACATTTGAAAACAATTTTTAAAGACTCCATTAATAAAACTAGAAATTCAGAATCAAAAGTAAAATGTAAAATTATTCTTAAGTACTATTTATTTATATGTAGTATGCTATCCTAGGCATTAATGATACGCTAGATGGCTTTATATTTTAAAACTTTAAATGACCTTCAGGTCAATGTTTTTTTTTGTTTTTTTTTTTTTTTTTGAGATGGAGTCTCACTCTGTTGCCCAGGCTGGTGTACAGTGGTACAATCTCAGCTCACTGCAACCCCCGCCTCCTGGGTTCAAGTGATTCTCATGCCTCAGCCTCCCAAGTAGCTAGGATTACAGGCATGCATTACTACACCTGGCTATTTTTTTTTTTTTTGTATTTTTTGTAGAAATGGGGCTTCACCATGTTGGCCAGGCTGATCTCCAACTCATGACCTCAAGCAATCCAGCCACCTTGGCTTCCCAAAGTATTGAGATTATAGGCGTGAGCCACTGCGCCCGACCCAGGTCAATGTTTCTTTGTAGATCCTAAAGTTTCAATACTAATCCTCAAACTAATATTCATCTGAGGAAATTTTATCCTCTCACATAGAAAATACTTGTCAAAAGGGAAAAGCCCATTTGCACTTTGCCCTATAAGTGCTATGCTACATTTTGACTGAGAATGTCACAGTGATGGCCCAAAGAGGAAACACCTAAAACAAATTTTACATAGAAATTATTTTGATAACCATGACTATCCTACTTTTATGTGCATTTCTAGCCTCAAAATGTCTCAAAAATTTATTTCTCCATGTTCCTCTTAACTCCCTTTGTTCATGATAGAAAATGTACTTTGGCATTAAAGAGATAGAAGCCACTAAGACATTGAATGTTGAACAATAGTTAAATGAGTACAACTAAAAACATGACCATAATTGGAAAAGTACCTTAATGACTGCAATAACATGTAAGGACGTCTTTTGATTTCTACGACTATCACCTTTTTTTTTTTAACTGAGATGCAATTAGTAACCTCCTACTACAGTACCTCCGTCACCTGAACTCTGAGAAGTTAACTGTCTCAAACCTCATAGAGATGATAAAAAACCATCAAAAAAGAATTCCCTCAACCCTCTACTATCACTTCCATAAAATTTACCTGGACCCACACCTATTCTTCCCTCTAAGTCTCATCATTCTATCTATACTGCACAACTCAAAAAAAAAAAAAGAAAAAAAAAAAGAGAGAAGATGAAAGAAGAAAACTCTCTACAGGGAACAAAGAAAGACAATCAGGACACACACTTTAGACTGATCACTCTGAAGGATATGTAGAAGGCAGATTTGAAGTAGACAAGATGAGAGGCAGGGTGACCAATTACAAGTCAGAGGTGATGAGAACCTAACTGAACAGTGAGAAAAGGCAGATCAAAGCAACTTTTAGGAAGTACATTGAAGGACGTGAAGTTGAAGAGATGTCAGAGAGGGAAGGAAGAAGTTGCCATTGAAAGGATGTCAGAACTGTTCCCAGAAGTAGGGAACACTGGATGAGGAGCAGTTTGTGGAGGGAAGATGGTGAGTTCAGTTCTGAGTGTATTCCATTTGACAGATGTCCAGCAGGAAGCTTAGCATGTGGGCCAGACACTCCTGGGAGATACAGAAGTGTCTGTCACCAAGATTTATGCAGAATTGATATCATGAGACTACACAGAGTCATCTAGTGAGTATGCCCAAAGCAAGGCATACTGTGGGCTGAGGGAAAAATACTGAGGAGCCCTGATATTTAAGGACTGGGTAAAGGAACAAGAGCCCACTAAAGAAGTAGAGAGGAAACAGCCAGAGTCATGAGGGGAACCAAAGGGCAGTTTCATGGAAGCCAAGAGTACAAACTTATATAATATATAATTATATAATATATTATATAATACGTATTATATATAGTATATAATATGTATTACATATTATATATAGTATATAATACATACTATATATAATACATAATATGTAATACGTAATACATAATATATAATACATGAAATTAATATATAATACATATAATATATACTATATATTAATTATATAATACATATAATATATAATATATTAATTATATAATAACATAATATATAATACATTACATAATATATTATATATTAATTACATAATATATAATATATATAACAGCATATATGAAGTATATATAATATATAAATAAGTATATATAATATATAGCATATATATCTAATATATATATTATATATATACTATATATTATAAAGTATATATATACCAGCATATATGAAAGTATATACTAGCATATATGAAATAGAAAGTAGTATATATATATATACTAGCATATATGAAATAGAAAATGCTTGTGTGTGCGTGTGTGTGTGTGTGTGTGTGTGTGTGTGTGTGTGTGTCTGTGTCTGTTTAAAAAAAATGTTGCCAGCAGCAGTGGGGAGAGGCTGAAGATACAGGAGAGAGAGCAGGCAATAAAGGGTGGTGTGTGTGCGTGTACAAGAGCACTTGTCAAAAGGGCTGGCTTTGAACAAGGAGGGGAGCCTCCTGATTCATTCCTGGGCTGAAGTACACACGTGGTGGTGGGGCAGGAAGTCAAGGACTACTGCGCGTGGTGGACAGCCTCACTATTTTCAGCGAAGCAAGGTTGGTGGGGGAGGGGCAGCAGGTTGAGAGGAGCAGGGGATAAGCAGGGTGGGTAAAATCAGGAAGACTTGGATTAGGCACTGAGGGAAAAGGGAAAGGGGCTGTCTGAGGCCAGTGGAAGAACTGACTGGTGGTGTGTGCTGAAGGTCCAGCTGAATAACGCTGGCACCCTTGTGTCTGTGGCATGGTTAGTCTGTCTGGTTGCATGGTTTTCTTAAGCAGCCATCAGTGATCCAGATGAAGATTACAGCCTGACTCAGGAATGGGATCTTCCTCTGTGGGTGTAGTGAAAGGACATGACAACATGGGTACTGAGAGTGTCAGACAAAGAGCAATTCAGAAGATTTACTATGGGGTCTAGCACAGGGAAAAGGAAAAGGGCAGAAGGCAGATGATAAACTGAAAAGAAACAGGGAATGAGGAATTGTACGTCTCTTAACAGACTGGGTGGGGGTAAGAGAATGAAAGAGCTGGAAGGATAGGAGCAGATTAATGCCACTATAGATTCATGACCTTCAGACTCAACTGGGCCATTAATATTGCCCAGCAATTTGACCATGAGACAGTACACTCTCCAACTCCTTATGGTGATTATTTTACATCTTTCCTTGAGCTTCTACCCATCCACATTTGCACACCCCCATTCTCAAAAGATGACCTCACCTTGTTTATAATTTAAAGAATAAATGTAACCCATAAGATGTGAATTCCCAAATCTACAAATGCATTCACCCTCTGGTTTCAACGTGTCTCCCATCCCATCCAAGGGCAACATTTTTGCCTGTTCTCTGAATTTTAGCCTCCCCAGCCTTTGCCTGGACCTTGATCTATCAATTATCCTCCTTCTTACTTCGTTATCTTCAACCTCTCCCTCTCTACTGGCTTCATCCCATCAGCTGAAATATATACTAATCTTTTAAAGTAAAGAAACACCCTCTTCATCTCCACATCCCTCTTCAAAGACCAGTTCCTCTCTCTTACTCTTCACAGCTTAGCTTCCTCCAAGAGTTATCTCTATTTGCTCTCTTCACTCTTCTGCCTCCCTGGCACTCTTTGATCCACTCACAAACCTCATAGCTTACTGGGAGATACAGACAATAAACCAGTAATTGTAGGACAGTGGAGTAAGTAATATAATAGCTGCTGTACTATTTCTTCTACCCGCCCATGCTCATACTTGTCACTCTGAACTACAGTTGCTACTTATCAGTATCTGTATTCTCCAGACCGTAAGCTATTTGAGAGCAGAGATGCTATCATAGTGACCACTATCTCCTTAGAACCCAGCAACACTGGCTGGAAGGTAAAAGGCACTCATTGTTTGCTGAATGGCTTAATGAAAGTATTTATGCTTACACATATAACAAGTATATTTGGGGGACTTTTTTGTATATAACGTTCATTTATTAGCAATAAAAATTGTTACAAATGAATTGACTTTATCCACTCACATATTTCTTTTACATAAGAAGCAGCTTTCAACTTAAAGAACTTTAGGAGCCTACTTTTAGCAGTGGCATACAGAACTGAAAGTCACGCCTACTGAGTAAGGTGAGTTTATCAATCACTATAAAATATGGTCAGAAGGAGAACTGGTACCCTGGAATTTAAGAGGTCTGACTGAGGAAAAATCAGAGGCATAATGACATTCCTCTATGGAACTGGGGGTAAGGAGAAAGAAGAGGGTACTGAAATGAACAATGGTGGTAAGTAAATACCATAACCGGGGACATGTGTGGAAATACATTCAAACCAGGCCTAACAGTGGACTTATAGTCATTGCCATAGGGTTGGCTACTGTCTTTTCCTACCAGATTTTTAAATGTATTCTCTGGGGATTCTCTTTTTCTCCCCATAACAATGTATTTTCAATTTCACAGAAATAATCATCAAAATCTAGTATTTAGTCTGATTTTCCTAAAATAAATCTGTTATATAAGATGCAACTATTTGTTCCACTGGATGGAAATCCTTAAGAAACCAATGCCATTACATTATTGCCATCATGTATTTTTTTAAAAACACATTTAAAAAATATGACAAGCTGAGTACCCTAATCCAAAAATCCGAAATCCAAAATGCTCTAAACCCACCCCCCGCCCCAAAAAAACCCCTAAAATCCAAGCACTTATGACCCCAAGCATTTTGGAGAAGGGATACTCAAACTTTAGTACATATAGCTTAATACGCTGTATTTTGCCAGTATTGATTTATACATATTACCATGTAGATTAAGTTAGTAACAATGTTATTAGCACAGGACTGAATGAGGTTTCATCTCACACCTGTTAGGATGGCTATTATTAACAAGACAAGACATAACAAGTGTTGATGAGGATACAGAAAAAAGCAGACCCTTTACACTGTTGGTTGGAATGCAAATCAAATCTATACAAACATTACGGAAAACAGTATGGAGGTTCCACAAAAAAATTAAAAATAGAATTATCCTATGATCCACCACTCCCATGTTCAATGCAGCATTATTCATTGCAGCGAAGATTTGGAAACAACCTAAGTGTTCATCAATGGAAGAATGGGTTTTTTAAAAATGGGGTGTGTGTATGTATAAACAATGGAATATTATTCAATCTTTAAAAAAGAAGAAAGTCCTACCATTTGCAACAACATAGATGAACCTGGAGGACATTATGCTAAGTGAAAGAAGCCAGACACAAAAAGGAAAGTACTGCATGATTGCACTTATATGTGAAATACAAAAAGCTTCAAATTCATAGAAGCAGAGAGTAAAACGGTGCTTGCCAGGAGCTAGGCAAAATGGGGAGACGTTGGTCAAAGGGTACAAACTTTCAGTTACACAAAAAGAATAAGTTTTAGAGATCTAATGTACAGTACAAGACTACAGTTAATAATATGGTATTATATATTTAAAATTTGCTGAAAGTAGATCTTAAGTGTTCTCACCACAAAAAAAGGTAACTATGTAAAGACATATGTTAATTAGCTTGAGTGTAGTGATTAGTTCACCATGTATATATATACCGAAACATCTTCATATATACAACTTTTATTAAAAATATATAGGACTGAATTTACCTGTTGATCTGAATCTGTTTTTAGGACAGATCTATCTGTAATCAGCACTGCCCTGGAGATCTGCCTGTAATGCACAAAACAGTGAAGCAGTAATTCTGATTCCATGGATAAGTTTCGTTTATAGTTATATAACCACCAGAAGGCACGTTTCAAAGATTTAAGTCAGGATAAAAGTGTCACCTCCCAAAACCAAGTCAAGTTCGGCTTTAATCTTTCCTTGGCTCATGAAAGAAGAATGCCTGACCTACAGACAAACCCCAGCTGAAGCAAAGGAGTTGAAATTATGCTAGGCTTCCCTAAAACCAGACCCTGTAAGTGAAGTAAGATATTGAATATATCTTTGGTTTGGCATTTATTTGCATGTTACTTGAAGAACAGAATTACACAGGAATGTCAATAAAATTACCTTCGCTTGCTAATGGGTGGAGGGGGCCTTACCTGTATTGCACACGTGAGCACATGTTCTCAGGAAAGTAACTGTCCTCCACGAGGAAATGCTCAGAGATTATTCTCTGACCAAACTGATCTATAATTGCTTTACATCTATAAAGAAGATAAGCATACCATAAAAGTTCATATTAATGATTAAATAATTGAGAAAATGTAATCGGCTACCAATTTTGAATCTAAAATGAATTTCACGTGAAGACAAGATTTAAAACTTGCCTACAATTCCATGTTTTCTGACACAAAACTGACAGTAAATGACAGAATATATATTCTTGTTGCTATTTTGAGGGCTTTTAAAGTACAAAATGAACATGGAATACAACTTAAACATGTATTTTGAATGCCATTAATAAGAATAAAGTCAGGATAAGAATTATAGTAAACCATAAATTTCCTAATATTTAGGAACATAAAAGCATTCCCTTTGTTTAGAAAACAGGCTTTTTTTTCCCCCCTTCACAGCTCTAAGAAAAGAAAGAGAGAAAAATTGATTAAATACCTTGCTATACCATTCAGAGCCTGTAAAGGCCTTTTACGAGGTTTTTATTTTTCTGTTAAATGTTGGTTTCTCTTTTGTCCAAGAATAGCTATATGGTCACGTGTTGGATAATGTTTGAAACAGAAAAATGTGATAGAGCTTCTTTTAATATCTGTTTCTACTTTACTTCAAAGGATGATCATAGAAAGATTTCTTTGAAGTGTTGTTTCCAAATAAGGAAAACACTTATGCACGGACATTATCAGGTCTCTGTCATCTGATATGTGTTGGAACAATGAATCATATAGAACCCTCCATTGACCTTCTTTCAATGTGTCTAGATAAAAGGATGAAAATTAGAATCCATCTCCTTGCAGTGCCACAAGTTATAAATGTACTTTATAGGGCTCATTATCCAAACTAATGGACTAAGGGCAACATCCTTGAAATGGACTTACCAGCATTGACAAAGCCAGTATGCAATATTTCAGGAACTATATGCAAATGACTGTGTGTTTGCTATATCTTTTGATTATGGAAATATCAATTTATTTGTGTCACAGCTTCTCCTTTGGGGAACAGAATTATTTTATTAGAAATGAACTTATGTGTTGCCCCTCATAAGATGCAAGCAAATTAATTCCAAAAGCATACTGTAAAATATACTGGTATAAGTTAAAATCTGTTCATTCACTTTAAAAATAAGCCATATAAGTGATATTTTCCAGGAATAAAGGCATTAAAAATAAAATGACTAACACTCAAGACCAATAGTGAGAGGAATTTAATTTGTATTTCCTAAAGGCAGATTATAATATGCTGGTATTTTTTAATAAATGGCATCCCACTGTTGTAAGGATAGTCTATGATGTCTAGTGATGTTACATGTACATAATAGATATTTTAACCAATTAACCACCTTTTAATATAACATTTGTAATATTACGTTAATATTTACATGATTTTTTTCCATCTCATCTCCACCTTCTTTCTCTTCTACACTTCTGTTTCTATACATACCTCCTCATATTTCATTGAACTAGAGCTCTTGCCTTATAAAATACTTAAGAAAATAGATCTGAAGTATTTACATCTGATATTCTCCAAAATAATGTTTTAAAAACTGAAAATATAAGTAATTCACTCAGTCTTCTATTTTAAAACACTCATATACCATTTGAAACACAAAGTGCTTCAGGCAATTGAGAAGAGAAATCTGCTGTCATTAAACATCAATCTCTATTTGTCCTGTAAGCACTGACAAATCTTTTTCTTACCTTTAATTCAGAGACTATGTAAAGTCAAGAGGAAATAACTGGGCAGAAAAAAGGGGTTGTTAAATTTCTATATCTTGATAGGGGCTTAGGTTATACAGATTTATCATTTGTTAAAACTCAGTTAAGAAGCACTTAAGATTTGGACCCTTCACTGTATATAAATTTACATCAAAAGAAAAACACTTAACAAATATTGAGCTCCAGGTAATAATATGCAAGCTGGAAGTATTTAGGGGAAATTTTACTGACATCTGCAATTCACAGTCAAATGCATTAAAAAGATGACTCGATACATGGATAGAGGGGTTAATATTTGGGTAGACGTGTGACTGAACAAGTTTATTAAAATGTTATAGAATCCAGGAGGTGGATATACAGGTGTTCTCTTGAAATTCCTTCCATGTCAGTATAAGTTTGAAAATGTTCATCATAAAATGTTAAAATAAAACTGGGGGAGGGGGTCAGTGTTAATATAAATCTCAGACCTGAGTGTAAGTCTTTAAAAAGGGTTCCCATTTAAACTGTATTATTAAACCTGGCCCTCAAGCTTTGTAGGCTTCTAAACATGAACGAGGTTGTTTTGGTGGTAGCCATACCTTTGGTGACAGACATTTGTTTCAAAAGTTATGATATTAGAAAGAACTAATGGAGATCACTCAAAAGGCAAGTATGGGGGTTTGGGAGTTAGGGAGCTCAACCATACCAGGAGAAGATACTAATACATGTGCCTATTTATGCTGATGCTTCTAAAGAAACGGTGATTCTCAGAGCAGGAGGAGGAAAAGGAAGCAAATCAGAATCACACCTGGGGGACTTTTTGAAATTATAAAGTACCCCTGGAGATTCTGATAAGCTCCCAAATCCCAGGAAAAAAATCACTGTCAAGCGTGCCACTGCTACTGTTGTATCTCTTATGTTGTGCTAGGTGGAGAAAAATCAAGGGCTATTGGTACAGATAAAATATTTGTTTCTGCAGAAATTGAGGTGATGGTCACATATGCCCAAGTCTCAGTCTGGTAGATGATAATAACATGACTCACCTGATAATATCACGCTGAAGTACTAAGACTCTAGGCTTAAGCAAAACTGCTCAAATCAAGACATGTTTAAGCAAGTGATAAGATATGTTTTCCTCTCAGACATTTAACTTACTGTCATATATTCAGCATAATTGGGAAAACAATGAATAAAAAAACATTGATTTTAGATCTAAATTTAGTCTTTGTATTATAAAGATTCATATAAAAAATTAGATGACATTTAATTAACAGAAAGCAGCAAAATAAACAGTGCTGCCAGAGTCATGAAAATACCCCTCCCACATAAACCTGAGGAAGGCAGGAAAGATTAAACCACGTAAGATTTAGTTGAGGGCCTTGCTGAGCCTCATAAATAGTAACTTGAGGAGGAACGTAACAGGTGTCTCCAGTTACAGGGACACAATGACCAAGCTGACCATACAAAACACTCAAGCCAGACAGAACATTTCTAGAGCTAAGCTTTCTAAATCAACAAATCACAAGTTATTCAGTTATTGGTTCAACGATATAAGTGTGTAGATAGCAAAATGATGATGAGGAAGAAAATAGTAAGATGAAAACTCAAAATCTGGAATTTGGCCCAGAAGAGGAAAAATAACACTAAAACAAGTATTCAATCTCTGTGATCTTCAGAATGAATATACCAACTAATTTTATGATAAAGAAAGCAGAAATCACATATGGAATAATTTAAAGGAAAATGTACTAAGGAAATTAGAAGATTCTCAATCACTGAAGAAAACAAAATAATTTTCCCTAGTCACTATGCCCTTCTGAGCTTTCTCAAACACATTAGTTCAAATGCTACCTCATCCATAAAACCATTTCAAATGCTTCCCACTCATTTTTCTTGGGTGAAAAACACTCTACTAGTTCTAAACACCATTAGCAGGCAAATAACTTCAAATCTATAGTTTTAGGCTCTGACTTCTGTTAAGTTCTGTATCCATATTTGTAATTGTCTATTATCTACTACTTTCTGGATAGACTCCAAGCTCCCTTTTAATAAATACTTAATTGAAAAACAAAAATTGTATATAGTCAATGTGTATAATGTAATGACTTGATATACACTGTGTAATGATTACCACAAATGAATTAACACATCTATTGCCACCCATCATTACCATCTGTGGGTGTCATGAGGAACTTAATACCTGCTCTTACCAAATCTCAAGGAAATAATATAGTATTATTAGCCAAGCATTTTTTAAAACTAGCATGCTGCAAACTGAGTTTATCATGGCTCCTCACCTGCTCCCACTCCCTTGGAATCCCTATGTCAGGCAATGGCATAATCAGCAGTTTTCCTACCTCAAATCTCTTTTTATATCTAGTCTGCTATAACATTTTGATTCCGCTTTATAAATACTTCCTGAAACTAGCCTCTTCTCTCCGTCTCCACTGATACTGCCTTAGACTCTTACAATGTCTAATATGATAATGACCTGCTAGCAAATTGGTAGTTCATTTGTTCAACATAAATGTATAGCATAACAACCATGTGCCAAGCACTGTTCTAAGAGGTAAGAATAAAAATGTTTTGCCCTAAAGGACAAGATTCAGACAGAGACAATTTTTGAAGATTCAGGCAGAGACAATTTTAAGACAATAGCAAAGTCCAGTGATAAAAGATAAGGATAGGGAATTACACAGTACTAGAAGAGGTACCTAACTCATCTTATGGTGGAGGGGTGGAGTATCAGGGAATGCTCTTTGGAGGAAGTGACACATTTGTTGCTTTTAAAGGATAACATACAGTTAAGCAAGCAAATAAGGATACAGTTATCTCAGGTAGAAGGGCAGAATTTGCGGGGTTACAAAGGCAAGTAAGAGAACAGCAGGTACAGAGACCCATGAACAGATCAGTATTATGTGACAATAAAATGAAAAGCAAGTAGGGAAGAGAGATGAGCCTAGACAGGGAGACAGAGGCCAGATTACAGAGTCTCACCCGTCATATGTCATGTAAAAAGGTCTTACACTTTATTCTGAGATTATATAAAGGCACTGAAGCTTTTTAAATAAGGAGGGGGCCAGATCTGCATACCGAACAGATCTCAATGTGCAATTATCTTATAAATTTAGTTGTTCTGTAATGTCCCCCAGTAGACTGTAAGTTCCTTAGAACAAAGACCCTGATTGTCTTATTCTCTGCTGTATCCCCAGTGCCTGGCAAAAAGAAAACAAATAATACTTGTTGCATGGATGGGTGAATGGATGGATGGTTAATGAAGTATTCCGTACTTTGTGAATAGTGTAGAGACAGGAAAAAAACGATACAGAATCTCTGATTTAGGAGGAAAAGAATCACTTTCCATCACAGTGCTTCTTCCAAATCATTGCCAGAATTACTAACTTAAAGTAGCAAATTTAATCTTGTTACCTCTGATTATAGTCCAAATTCCTTATTAGCATAGCACAGAAGAATCTTCACAATAGGTCTCCCCCACCACTGGATTCCAAGGTCTCCAATTATATTAATAGTTATTGTTAGCTAACATAGCTAGCACTTACAATGTGTAACAAATGGTTCTACAAGTTTTGTCTATTTAGTTAATACTTATAATAACCCTATGAAGTAGGTGTAGTCAATTGTCCAAGTTTCTAGATAAAGAAACTGGGTCACAGAGAGTTAAACAATTGCTCAAGTACACACAGCTAGTGACAAAGTCAGGATCCAAATCCAATCTATCTAACTTTAGAGCTGTACTCTTTACTGAAGTCTCCTTGTATACAAGGGCAAGGTCCATGTTTCATTCACTTCTTTATCCCCATAACAACTAGCACGGGGGTTGGCAGACGTTAAGTATCCAGAATATGACCACTACCATTTTGCAAGCAGGCCATGCTAAAATCAGTGCTTCAGCAATGACAAATGGTATTAACAGTCAGTCACCTCAAACTTGGTCTCACATTCTATTCATTACTAACTTCCAAGTATCTAGAAAAGGCATAGACAGCCGGACGTGGTGGCTCACGCCTGTAATACCAGCACTCTGGGAGGCTGAGGCCGGCTGATCACCTGAGGTCAGGAGTTCGAGACTGCCCTGACAACATGGCAAAACCCGTCTCTACTAAAAATACAAAAATTAGCCAAGCGTGGTCACGGGCCTGTAATCCCAGCTACTAGGGGGGCTGAGGCAGGAGAATCGCTTGAACCTGGGAGGCAGAGGTTGCAGTGAGCTGAGATTGCACCACTGCACTGCAGCCTGGGCAACAAAGCGAGACTCTGTCTCAAAAATAGAAAAAAAGAAAAGAAAAGTCAGAAAAATATATCTGACATCAGAAAATATATATTCCTGACATCAGAAAAATATATTCCTGACATCAAGAAAGAGTCATAGTAGGAAAGCTGGTAAGTGAGACAGGTGAAGTACACAGGAAACAGCAGCTGAAGTAATTAATTACAACTATTGGTTATAGATGTATCTGGTCCTAGTCCAAGGTCATCTCTACCCTACCAATATATCAAATACTATACTACTAAATGGCCAGATCTAATTTACCGGAGTTTTACCTGGTCAGCATAGCTGCAAAGGAAAAGAAAACTGTTCAACTAGAACATTCAGTTTTTCTAAAAACAGTCAACGGAAGCATGCAGTATTAGAATTTAGTGAAAAGGTTTAGAAAAGAACCACTGATGCATACCTACATCCTCTCAAATAAGAAAGCAGAACCAATCAAACAAAAATGAAAAATAAAACCTGGCTGAAAATAGGTATGCATTTGGTTACATATTCCATATACCATGATTTAGTGTGCCTCCTCAATGCCCTATTTCTTCGGTCAAAGTTTGTACAGTGTTTTGATGTATAATCACCACATTAAACTCAATGCTATGATCCCTTATGCCTCTCTCAGTTTTCCTAAATGGAGAGTGCAAAGAAAAGCACAAAAAGGGTTATAGCCAGTCTTTAATCTTTAATCATTTATTTAACTCAAAGTTATTCAGTATAATGGCTACTAGGAACCTGCCTTGGTTCTGGAGATACAACAGTGAGATCCTGCCTTTTCTTATAGAGAACTTATAAAATGATCATACGAGGGGATGTGACAGTGGGGAGTGGAGACTGACAGAGGGTTCTGATGTAGTCTGTGGGATCACAGAATAAACTCAGAACTTTGACTCAAAGTATAAGTAGTTCTTAACTGTCCTAAAGAGGAGAGAGGATGTCAAGTGTTCCATATAGAAAACTAGGAAAAGAAAGGCAAACTGAAACCATAAGGAGACAAATGCAAATCTTTGCAGATTCCTTAGTGAGTACCCTAATTATACTTAGAACATAACAATTGTTTAAGCCAGCCTTGAATCCTTAAAAAGAAATGTATGTTGGATTTGCCTAATACAATGTCAAGGTTTTTCCCTCAAAAAACTATCCCTCACTTTATGTTCAAGTCCTAACAAAATATCTCCTATTACTGGTTATCTCTCTTGTATGTTTGATTTTGAATGGCAAAGCTGTGTTTGGTAAAGATACGCTGACCTGAGCCAACTTCAGTCAATGCTAGCTTTTATTTATAGAGACTATTTGACTTGCTAGTTTAAAGAGGAAAAATTTAATATAAATATGGTAATTATTACTGAAGGTATAAATATGAACTTATACTTTTCAAGTATTGCTTGAGTCTTAAAACTTTTAAAGATCACTTAAGCAATTTAGTATAGTGAGAATATTGTAGATGACAGTAGTACTATGATTACAGGTCAAGTTTTAAAAACTGGCAAGTTACAGAAATAAATAATTATAGCTTAGAATAAATTTTCCAGGAAGAGATTCATATACAGAATCCAAAATCATTGCATTCTGAAAAAACAAGATGGACAAGAAGATGATGTTCACTGGAAAACTGGGGTTCTAGTAATATAACAATATAATTAATAGCACAAGAAGACTGTGTGCTATTTAATTTATATTCATAAAAGCAGGCACATCCAAGTTGTTCAACTTCTTTAAATTTCTCACTGGGACTGAAGATGATGCATTATGTGAGAATGGCTTACATTTGAGCATATAAAATACTTTAAGATAATTTATTTCTAAATAAGGAAAAGCCAAGTACT
This sequence comes from Homo sapiens, assembly GCF_000001405.40. NCBI lineage: Eukaryota > Metazoa > Chordata > Mammalia > Primates > Hominidae > Homo > Homo sapiens. The sequence continues at coordinate 85,908,956 of NC_000023.11, forward strand.
TTCTAAGAACATTACCAAAGAACTATCTAAGAACTCAACCAAGGCATGTCAAATCTAGAAAGATATCCAGAGATTACTGCAGAGTCCATGTCATTCATCTTACAGATAAAGGATCCGGTCCAGAGGAAAGGATTTGCCCACTGTCATTCATGGCACTAGTGGAAATCCAAGTCTCCTCTCATTCAAGGGCTACACAACCTTTACTCATGCCTTAGAAGTTACAAAACAAGACATGTCTTTCTATGAAGATATTCTTAGAAGCAGTCTGTCTGCTATTTAAAATTCACATTTGATTGTTGGTATATCTGGCAGTTTCATATTGATACGGCCTTAGACTGAATTAAGACCTAGAGCCCCCAGTTTGTGATGGAACACAGTACCCTTTACTAAACCCTCAATTTTACCTTACAGATCAGTGTTATCTAATCTAAGGACTTCCTATACTAGATTCACTTGGGGTTTTCTTTAAAACTGCAAATTACTGCATTCCCCCTAAGCATATTAACCAATTTCACTTTCTGAGGGTGAAGAACAGAAATCTGCATTTTTGCCAAGATTACCTGGTAATTTTTGGGCACATTAAAGTTTGAAAACCACCAATCTAGAGATTCATTTGGTCTCTAGACCATTAGCTTTCAGCTATCTGTTGCAACTGGAATCTGTACCAGATCATAAAAAAGAGCTCCTCTGTTTAGAGCATGTCATAAAAACTAAGTCAAAGGTAAGGAAAAGGTAGCCTTTAGTTCAACAAAGGCAATTACTATACTAGCATACCTTTAAAAAACAAACAAACAAACAAACATGAGCTATGCAAATTATTCATGTCACATGGGACTGAAATGGGACCCCAAGGGTAAAAGAATCTAAGCAAATAAACACCAAATAAGCAATTCATTATCTGGCTTTCTGTCATGGGAACATACTCTTGTAGCAAAATGAATGCACAAAGAAAAATGATTCTAGAAGTCTAAAGACAACTATTCCTTAACTTCAACAGAGTTCTTCATGAATCAAGATGTTAACATCCTGGGCCTTTAGGGATTAATTTTTCTCTGCAAACTATCATGTTTCATTTTGTACTATCCTTCTATAAAAGTGCTAAAGGTACTTTACAAGCCGTTTAAAATACGTATCAATGTTATCTTATACTACAGAATTACTCTTCTAAAGCAAATTTACTATCTAAGCATTACATATTTCCAGAGTTGAGGATTTTCTTCACCATAATTCAAAATACTAGTTTTTTCACTACAACTAGTCTATAAGAAGTTAATAGACATTGTATGCCACTTAAACGATACAAAACTTTTGTAAAATGAAAGAAACAGCTTAAAATTTATATTATTTAAGCTTCCAGTTCAAATATTAAAATGTTTTATAACCTCAAAAATACTATTTAACTATATACTCCTAAAAACAATCATCTAAGAAATACAGGTCAGTAGATTGTTGAGAACATGTAAAAAAAAGAAAAACACATTGCAATTTAGATAGTTTCTAAAACTGGATCTAAAATATTTAAGTTTCAGTGTAGAAGGCAGAAATCAAAGAATATTTTATCCAGTCTAATTCAGACCAGTGATTATAACTGAAATATAAAATACACAGTAAACAGATGGTGTTCAGCTCTTTTAAAGAAAAGGTAAATTCTTATTTCAATCCTAAAGCAGCCTATAGGCCTGATACTATTGTAAAAAATTTATCCTTAGATAAGAGGGCAGCATGGTTTATGACAACAATCTACCTAAAAACTCATTAAAGTCTTTTCTCTTGGAGTGACATGCATTATCAGCAGAGATTAATCTGATGAGTCTTTAGGTGAATTCCATTTTTAAAAATGCAATAACAGAGGGCTTTGTTGTCATCTGATGAAAATCAATTAGAGGAGGTAAGGCCACAAGGAAAACTAACATCACTCATCACCCACCCCCTGGCAGCTGAAATGATTTGTCTTCCAAGCTTGGATGACCAGGAGCTATAGGCATATTGCAGGGAAATTAATTTAGTTTCTATATTCTGAACTCACTATTCTTGTTCTGGAGGACCTAAACACAAATTACTTTTAATCAAGGTTGATATGTTATTAATACCAAGGAGGATCTTTGAAGAATCTTTTTCTTAAAACTGACTTCAGCATTTTTCACTTGTGTTTGGGATATGTGTGTGTGTATATGTATATATATATATATATATATATATATATATATGTATATATATATGAATATATATATGAATATATATATATGAATATATATATATGAATATATATATATATATATATGAAGGTTACTTATATCATCCTTACTTTCTGGATTCTTTGTCCACTACAAGGCACTGTACTGAATGGCGAAGACAATAAATTCCACCAAACACAGCACACATCCTAGAAAGAGAACAGAAAAATAAGAATTAGGGTAATTGGGTTGAAAATAAAGGTAAAAGTATTTTCTTTTAAGTATTTTACACTTCATAACTGGTATTACAGAAAAAACATTTTGATAATGTACTATTTTCTCTATCATAGTATTAAAAATCTCTCAGAGGCAAGATTAGTAATATCTTGACACAGTAGAGGTGTTACTGATAATAATACAATGCTGACACTTAGAACTGTGAGCAAACCAGAAGTGTCCCTAAGCAAGAGCCAATTATCCCCCGAAAATCAGCTCCTGCCTACCTAAGGTACAAAGAACACAAACAGCTTCAAGAGGTAATGCATGTATGACAAACCCAAGAGAAATCACCATTGAGAAGTGTTAAAGAGGAATTAAGCAGGGAAGACTCTGGAAAACTCCTAGATATTTTACTTACAATAAATGTAAACAAAATCTCCAGTAGCCAAAACTAAACTGGGAACTGAAAGCTAGAGCAGTAAACATGAGTAAATGCAGCAGAAGCCCTAGGGAGTGTGTCTATCTCAGTAGTAATCTAAGTGCATAAGTTTTAATGCACACATAAGGAGAGGAGAGGCCTTAAGATCCAAACAAGGCAGTAAGTAGGAAAGGAGATATTTTCTTATAATATCTGGATTATTAAAGAGCTATGCCTCAGTTAAAGGGTAACCAAGAAAAGAAATCCACGTACAAAAAGAGGGAGAAAACAAGCAAAAAAACCCATTTTTCTTTGGGTGGATCCCTGAATGGAGGAAGATTACACTGTGTATTTATTAATATTATCAGTAGTCTGCCCTCATACATGTTAGGGGTTTGAAATTATACCACTATATGATACAAGAAACTCTTAGCCAATAAAATATAAAATATCATGAGAAGTGGTTCTGGGTCAGTGAGTAGACTCCTGGACACTTAGGGGAAGCAATGGCTAAAGCTTTCTGGTGGAATAAGACTAACCAAGGCCACATGAGATTGCCACAGATAGAGTCCCTAGATGATGAGTTTATAATCTAAAATTATACAACACATGAGGAAACACATCTTACTTTGAGTGAGCAGACAAAAGAAATAGGATTAAACTCCCCAAAATGATATTCGGATGGTATAACTATCTGATTGAGATTATAAAATGGGTATGCTTAGGGTGAATGAATCAAAAACACAGGAAAATAATAATGGAATGTCCAGAAAGACGACTATGGTAGGCTGAAAAATGCACTCTCCCATTAAGATGCTCACATTTTAATCTCTGGCTCCTGTGAATATATTACCATATCTGGCAAGAAGGACTTTACAGTGGTGATTAATGCACTGATCTTGAGACTGGGAGATTATTCTGGTGGGTGCAACATAATCACAAGTGTCTTTAAAAGAAAGAAGTGGCCAGGGAGCAGAGGCTCACACCTGTAATCCCAGCACTTTGGGAGGCCGAGGCAGGCGGATCACCTGAGGTCAGGAGTTCTAAGACCAGCCTGGCTAACATGGTGAAACCCCGTCTCTACTAAAAATACAAAATTAGCCAGGTACGGCGGTGCATGCCTGTCATCCCAGCTACACGGGAGGCTGAGGCAGGAGAATTGCTTGAATCTGGGAAGCAGAGATTGCAGTGAGCCAAGATCGTGCCACTGCACTCCAGCCTGGGTGACAGAGTGAGACTCCATCTCAGAAAAAAAAAAAAAAAAAAAAAAAAAGGAAAGAAAGAGGCAGGGCCCACGCCTGTAATCCTAGCACTTTGGGAGGCCAAGGCAGGCAGATCACCAGATGTCAGGAGTTCGAGACCAGCCCGGTGAAACCTTGTCTCTACTAAAAATACAAAAATTAGCTGAGCATGGTGGTGCACACCTGTAATCCCAGCTACTTGGGAGGCTGAGGCAGGAGAATCACTTGAACCTGGAAGGCGGAGGTTGCAGTGAGCTGAGATTGTGCCAGTGCACTCCAGCCTGGGCAACAGAGCAAGACTCTGTCAAAAAAAAAAAAAAAAAAAAAAGAAAGAAAGAAAGAAAGAAAGAAAGAAAGAAAGAAAGAAAGAAAGAAAGAAAAAAGGAAAAGGAAAGGAGAAAGGAGACGGGAGAGGAGACTGGAGGACAGGAGGCAGGAAGGCCAAAGTCAAAGAAGATGATGTGAAGACAGGAGTAGACGTCAGAATGATCCCACTGTTGGAAGTGGGGCACATGCCAAGGAATGCAGGCAGCTTCTATATGCTAGAAAAGACAAGGAACAGATTCTCCCCTAGTGGCCCGAGAAGAAATGCAGCCCTGCCAACCAGTTTTAAACTTCTGACCTCCAGGATGGTAAGATAATAAATTTGTGTTGTTATAAGCTACTAAGTTTGTTATGGCACCAATAGGAAAGTAATAAAAAGATCCATGAATGTATGGAAATGATGACAGAAGTGGCATTACAAAACAGTGGGGAAAGAATGGAACCTTGAAAAAATGATTTGGAAGGAGAAGAGCCAAGATGGCACACTAGACACAGCCAATAAAAGCTTCTCCCACCAAGCGAGACCAGACAATCAAGTAGACAAGCATACTGCGAACAGATCTTCAGGAAGAAGGCACTGAGAGTGGATATACGGAGAAAGAATGCAGGCCCCAGGGCTGAAAAGGGAGGAGGCCGAGAAGACTCCATGGGGTTGCCAAACACCAAAACTTGTTCCTGGCCACTAGCGGCTCCTAAAGAAGGGGTGAGTGAAATAGGCATAGAATGGTTCACCTTTGTCATGGACCTCTGGAATGCTAGATGCAGGAGCCCCTATGAGCCCCATGGACATTTGAGATGGCAAGGAGAATTGCTCGGAGAGTTGGTAGAGACAGAAATCCAGTATACTTGGAGCCCAGAAGGTTTGGCACGGGAAGAGTTGCAGTGGAGCACAACCAAGGGAGCCCATCCCCCAAGGCTCACCATGCTCCTCTAGGTGGTTTTACCCTTTGTGAGCAACTGGACCTGGAGATTGCAAGTCTATCTTACCTGCAGGATTGGGCCGGTGTGATCTAAACAAACCCCCATGTGCTGATATCTCCTCTGGCCACACCTGCTTGCAGCACAGCCTCAGCTGCCCTGACAAAATCCTTGCCAGAGTTCACTGTCATAGATCATTGACTGACAGTCTCCACCTTCCCATCAGAGTATTTTTGAAGACAAACCTCCCCCAGTGAGCATCCACTTGCAGCCTCCCCTCAACGGTGCGCACTCAACTACAGCCTCCCCAAGCCACGCTGCCAGGGCCCACATGCATAAGAATCTACCACCACCACATCAGCGCCCATGCACACACAAACCAACCACAGTCCCACTGACACACTGGGAGCCCTTCCCTCAGCGATACCATTGCTGCAGTCACCCATGGAGCCCAACACTGCCCTGCTAGTATACACTTGCCTGTGCCCCAGCTGCCACAGCACCCATTCTGTGCCTCCCACGCCCAATTGCAGCACTTTTGCTGGCAGCCCCTGTTGAAGAATTGTTGCCATTGGAATGGGAACACCTCACCTTCTCCAGCACAGCAGGTGCTTGACCTCAATAAACCAGAACAAAGTAGCAGGCCTGGTCCCAGCCACCTAGGGTTAGAGCATGCAGCCCAGGACAGGTGAGCTGAGCCTTGGCCACCTGAAAGTACCCAGAAAGGAAGCCAATGAAATAAACCCAACTTATACCACAAACAAACCTTCAAAAAAATAAAAAAATATAAAAGCAAAAAACCCATATAAAAAAAAACCCGGCAACTTCAGAGGTTAAACACCAGCTCACACAGACGAGAAAGAACCACCGTAAGAATTCTGGAAACCCTGGCATCATCCAGATACCAAAACCTGGCAGAGATATAACAGAAGAAGAAAACCTCGGGCCAATATCCTTGATTATTTCAATAGATGTATCAAAGACTTTCAATAAAATTCAAAATCCATTCATGTTTAAAATGCTCAATAAGTTAGGTATTGAAGGAACATGGCTCAAAATAATAAGAGCCATCTATGACACACCCACAGTCAATATCATGCTGAATGGGCAAAAGCTGGAAGCATTCCCCTTGAATACTGGCACAAGACAAGGATGCCCTCTCACCACTCCTATTCAACACAGTATTGGAAATTCTGGCCAGGGCAGTCAGGCAAGAGAAAGAAATAAAGTGCATCAAAATAGAAACAGAGGAAGTCAAACTATCTTGTCTGCAGATGACATGATCCTATATCTAGAAACCCCATAGTCTCAGCCAAAAGTTTCTTAAGCTAATAAACAACTTAAGCAAAGTCTCAGAATACAAAATCAATGTACAAAAATCACTAGCATTCCTATACACCAACAACTGTCAAGCTGAGAGGAAAATCAGGAAAGACCACCATACACAATTGCCACAAAATGAATAAACTACCTAGGAATACAGCTAACTAAGGAGGTGAAAGATCTCTCCAAGGAGAACTACAAACCACTGCTGAAAGAAATCAGAGATGACACAAACAAATGGAAAAACATTCATGCTCATGGATATGAAAAATCAACATTGTTAAAATGGCCATACTGCTCAAAGCAATTTATAGATTCAATGCTATTTCCATTAAACTACCACTGACATTCTTCAAAGGACTACAAAAAAAACTATTTTAAAATTTATATGGAACCGTAAAACAGCCTGAATAGCCAAGGCAATCCTATGCAAAAAGAACTAGGCTGGAGGCATCAGGCTACCTGACCTCAAACTATACTACAGGGTTACAGTAACCAAAGCAGTATGGTACTGGTACAAAAACAGACACATAGACCAATGGAACAGAATACAGAACCCAGAAAAAAGACCACACACCTACAACTATCTGACCTTTGACAAACCTGACAAAAACAAGCAATGGGGAAAGGATTCCCTATTCAATAAATGGTGCTAGGATAACTGGCTTAGCCACATGCAGAAGATCAAAACTGGACCCCTTCCTTACACCATATATATATCTAAATTAACTCAAGATAGATTAACAACTTAAATGTAAAACCCCAAACTATAAAAACCCTGGAAGACAATCTAGGAAATACCATTCTGGACATAGGCATGGGCAAAGATTTCATGACGAAGATGCCAAAAGCAATTTCAACAAAAGCAAACATTGAACAATGGGATCCAATTAAACTAAAGAGCTTCTGCACAGCAAAAGAAACTATCAACAGAGTAGCCAACCTACAGAATGGGAGAGAATTTTTACAATCTATCTATCTAAGGTCTAATATCCAGCATCTATAAGGAACTTAAAGTAATTTAAAAGAAAAAAATCACCCCATTAAAAAAGTGGGCAAAGAATATGAACACACACTTTTCAAAAGAAGACATACATGCAGCCAACAAGCATATGGAAAAAAGTTCAGCATCAGTTATCATTAAAGAAATGTAAATCAAAACCACAATGAGATACCATCTAGCACCAGTCAGAATGGCTATTACTAAAACATCAAAAAATAACAGATGCTGGTAAGGTTGTGGTGAAAAAGGAATGCTTATACACTGTTGGTGGGAGTGCAAATTAGTTCAACCATTATGGATGACTGTGGAGATTCCTCAAGGACCTAAAGACAGAAATACCATTCAACTCAGCAATCCCATCACTGGGTATATACCCAAAGGAATATAAATCATTCTATTGTAAAGACAACATACACATGAATGTTTATTGCAGCACTCTTCACAACGGCAAAGACACAGAATCAACCTAAATGTCCATCAATGACAGAATGGATAAAGAAAATGTGGTACATATACACTGTGGAATACTATGCAGCCATAAAGAAAGATGAGCTCATGTCCTTTGCAGGGACATGGATGGAGCTGGGGGCCATTATCGTTAGCAAACTAACACAGGAACAGAAAACCAAATACTACTTGTTGTCACTTATAAGTGGGAGCTAAATGATGAGAATATGTGGTCATATAGAGGGGAACAACATACACTGGGGCCTATGGGTCAAGGGAGGCTGGGAGGAGGGAGAGGATCAGGAAAAATAACTATAGGGTACTAGGCTTAATACCTGGGTGATGAAATAATCTATGCAACAAATCACCATGACACAAGTTTAGCTATGTAACAAACCTGCAAATGTAGCCCTGAACTTAAAATCAAAGTTTTTTAAAAAAGAAAAAAACAAACAAAATACAATTCTGGCGACCCTAAAAGGCAGAGTGTCTTCTTACCTCCACACAACCACGCTAGCTCTATAGCAGTGGTTCTTAACCAGATTGAAATGGCTGAAATGACAGACATATATTTCAGAACCTGGATGGGAAGAAAGCTCAATGAGATAGAGGAGAAGGTTGAAACGCATCCAAGTAAAGCAGTAAAATGATCCAAGAGTTGAAAGATGACTTAGCCATTTTAAGAAAGAACCAAACAGAACTTCTGGAAATAAAAAAAAATCACTACAGGAATTTCATAATGCAATTGGAAGCATAAATAACAAAATAAACCAATCTGAGGGAAAAAAAAAAAACCTCAGAATTTGAGGAGTGATGCTTCGAATCAACACAGACAAAATTTTTTAAAAGAACTGAAAAACTGAACAAAACCTCTGAGAAATATGGGACTACATAAAGAGACCAAACCTATAACACATCCGCATTCCTGAAAGAGATGGAGATAGAGCAAGCAACTTGGAAAACATATTTGAGGATATCATCCATAAAAATTTCCCCAACCTTGCTAGGGAGGTCAACACACAAATTCAGGAAATTCCAAGAACCCCTGTGAGATAGTATGCAAGATGACAATCCCCAAAACACAGTCATCAGATTCTCCAAGGTCAACTCGAAAGAAAAAGTCTTGAGAGCTGCTAGAGAGAAGGGGGAGATCAGGTACAAAGGGAACCCCATCAGGCTAACAACAGACCTTTCAGCAGAAACATTACAAGCCAGAAGAGATTAGGGGCCTATATACAGCATTCTTAAAAAAAGAAATCCCAACACAAAATTTCATATCTAGCCTAAGTGTCATAAGCAAAGGAGAAATAAAATACTTTTAGACAAGCAAATGCTAAGGGAATTCGTTACCACCACACCTACCTTAAAAGAGATCCTCAAAGGACCTAAATATGGAAAAGAAAGATACTTGCCAGCAGAAAAAACATGCTGAAGTACATAGACCACTGCCACTATAAAGCAACCACACAACCAAGTCTACAAAACAACCAGCTAACAATATGATGACAGGATCAAATCTTCACATATCAATACTGACCTTGAAAGTAAACAAGATAAACGTCCCACTTAAAAGGCACAAAGTGGCAAGTTGGATAAAGAAGCAAGACCCAACAGTATGCTGTCTTCAAGAGGCTCATCTAACATGCTGTGACACCCATAGGCTCAAAGTAAACAGTTGGAAAAAGATTCATCAAGCAAATGGAAATGCTATTCTTATTTCAGACAAAACAGACTTTAAGCCAAAAATCATCAAAAAAGACAAAGAAGGGCATTACATAATGATAAAGGTTTCAATTCAATAAAAAGACTTAACTATCCTAAATGCACCCAACACAGGAGCACCCAGATTCATAAAACAAGTTCTTAGTGACCTACAAAGAGACTTAGATAACCACACAATAATAGTGGGAGACTTCAACACCCCACTGATGGTGTTAGATTACTGAGGCAGAAAAATAACCAAGATATTGAGGACCTGAATTCAGAACACCCTACCCAACAACGACAGAATATACAATATTCTTATCTGCACATAGCAAATACTCTAAAATCGACCACATGTTCAACCATAAAGCATATACACACAGAAAAAGAGCATTAGATAAAACTTCATATTATTGAATCAATTCTCCACTGGAGAAAAATAACTTTTAAATGTCTTTCCACATTACAAGAAATACAAAGGAATAAATTCAGAACCCACTGGAAGCTGTATAAGGTTAAAACTATATACAGGTTAAAAATATATAAAACAATATGCCACAGGCTATTACATTATCAAAAGCCTAAATAATCCACTTAACCAAAATTAAATGTAATTTTCTATAAAGACCTCCTTTTATGAAATAGTATAATGTTTATGAAATATACTATTACTTTATAATATTAAGTATCCTTTTCCTTGAAAATTAATTTTATGAAGTATTTTTAGGCTAAATGGGGCCTCAAATACATTTAAATACAGTTATAGATGCCGAGATACAGGGACATCTATAACTACTTATAGTAAATCATCAAAAAATTACCTGATTTTCAACAATATGATTTATTAACAGTGGATATATACTATATGGAAAAAAAACACAAGAATGTAAAGAATGTTAAGAACTAGTGTGAATGATGGGAAATATTATAGAAGAAGTTTAATAATGAGACAGAATTGTGATAATTCATTTAAATATCCTCTTAATTTTAAATGAGAACATAAGAAGTATTTTGTGCTCTTGGAAAGGTATATGGTTACATGTGCACATACATTTTTCATATTGCTTCTCATTTGTTTTTCCCCCATACCAGTCTTTGTTAGAAAGGGAAGCTATGTGTAGCTCATAATGGCAGCATTTGTTCTCTGTCACCTCTGTATTTTCTTCATGTATCTTATGCCCAAGTGAAAAAAAAAAGTGATTTGTAAGAAGTGCCACACAAAATGAGTATTGATATAAAGACTCCTCTGTATGCTATTCTTATCAGTCATTCCGATAGTCTTTAAAAAAAATAAGTTTTGGTTGGGGGTGTAAGGATTACTTGGTGTCAACGAGCAATAGTGGAAATCTTTTTTGTTTTTGTTATTTTTATTTTTATTTTTTTTTTTGAGATGGAGTCTCGCTCTGTCGCCCAGGCTGGAGTGCAGTGGCGCGATCTCGGCTCACTGCAAGCTCTGCCTCCCTGGTTCACGCCATTCTCCTGCTTCAGCCTCCCGAGTAGCTGGGACTACAGGCGCCCACCACCACACCCAGCTAATTTTTTCTATTTTTTAGTAGAGACGGGGTTTCACCGTGTTAGCCAGGATGGTCTCGATCTCCTGTCCTTGTGATCCGCCCGCCTCAGCTTCCCAAAGTGCTGGGATTACAGGCGTGAGCCACCGTGCCCGGCCCAATAGTGGAAATCTTTTGTAAGTGGGTAAGAAGCACAGTAGTAGGGAGTTCTTGAGAGCTGTATTCAAAACCCAAATAGGAGGCATTTACATGAGAAGTAGGGAATTACATGTGGGGAAATAACTATTGGCTACATACTGTTCTTTGGGGCACACAGCCAACAACAACAACCATACAAATAATAATCACAACTAGCATTGAGTGCTTACTACACAACAGATGTTTTACATGTATTAACACATTGTATCCTACAATAATCCTATAAGCCAGGGTTTCACAGATTTGGAAACTGAGGAAGAGGTCAAGTGACTTGCTTGAGGTCATTTAGGAAATGGTATTGCTGGGGTAAAAATCCAAGTGATTTGGTCTCAGAGGTTTCTCTGTTAACCATCATACCAACCTGCCCCATTGTCAGTATTATCTTTCTTGGGATTATGAAGGAAAGCAACAGAATCAGATGATCAAAGTTACTCTAAGACTTGTTCTAATTCCTGTTGAATTGCAAAAATTATTACAAAGAGTAAAATAATCCCTCAACTTCTACACATTATTTTCTCTCAAGAAAGTACATGTTTATTCTGTCTGTACATGTTAAATGGATTATGTGTGACTTCATTTTAGATAGTGCAAAAACTCAAAGTATAACCATGGGAATAGTGGTCTTCAGAGTACCTAGCAAATTATGACTATCTTGTAATCCATATTTTAAAATGTGATGTATAAAGTATACTGGTAAGCTAGAAATTTTTAAATAAAGAAAAAGCTGTGAGTAGAAGGTAAATACTTTACCATGATTTTGGGGGAGGTAATAAGTTTCCACATGACACGTTTTCTTCCAGTGCATTAAATGGCAGCCTAACAACCCAAAGGTTAACACGTCTTAGTGAAGGACAATTAAGCAACCAAAGATGGCAAACATCTCTGAGATGTCAGGTAGGCTCCATCTTTGGTGCAGTTTACAGAAGCCATCCTAAGGCCTAACATAACACCTGGCAAGACAGCTCTGTACACCTCCCTTCCAAAGGGTAGTATGCAGCCTAGAGGCAAGCAAGTATAAATTTTGCAGGACTTATCTAAAAAAGAAATCTACTAAACACAGTAGGTAGGACTGTCCCCAAAAAAGTCACTACAAAAATACATTTGAACTCTTCATCAAATTCCATTAAAAACAAACCAAACAAAAAGGTCTGTTACAAGAGAAAAATTAGAGTGACCATTGATCATCAATGTGCTTTAGTGACACCCCAGCTAAAACCGTAAACTGAAAAGCAGAAGTTCCATTCCAACAGTAAGTAGGCATGCCTACATGTCACGAGACACTGTAAGACTTCAGTGATTGCATCTATCTACAAAAAGTTCAACTTTGTTTCTTGTAACTATATTCATACATATGCATTTATCATAACACTATATTTAAAACAACATATTGAGTTTTCTGTCATGTTGTAATGTTGACCTGATTGGTGGCTGCCAGTCTGAAAAAATACATGTAGGGAAATCTAAATGCATGTATTTATTTTTATATACACACACACACGGGAAGGGGATCCCAAAAGTCTTTACACACATGTGCATGAACTATAAATGCAGTATTTACACACATGTGCATTTACACACATGTGCATGTGGTATTTACACACATATGCATGAACTATAAATGCAGTTTTTACACAGGATGGTCTTAGTGCTGTTTACACACATGTTCATGCACTATAAATGCAGTTTTACTATATACTGTAGATCAGATAGCATGTTTGTGGGTTACATACTTATATTGCATATTTATATTACTAAATCATGTAGTAGTAATATAAATGATATAAATATGCAATATAAATATGTAACCCACAAACATGTTATATGATCTACAGTATAAAGTAAATTATCAGAGTTTTCACTTATGCTAACATTCCCCCCTTTTTTTTCTTCCTTTCTTGGTATTTGGTATCTTTCTTTGAGCAGGAAGTAGAGGGAAGGAGAATATTTGTATGGTGGGTGTCAGAAGTAAATGCTGTATTTTGCTGTAGTGGGTCTGGCTCCTGGGAAGGCAAAATTGGACGGCATATGCCATAGCATCATCTCTCCCCAAGATCCCTGCTAAGACTCAAGCTATTGGAATCCAACTCAGCATGGACTTCCTATTGGCCTGAAACAGAATGCTTCCTCAAGAGCAGTAGCTAAATACAGATGCTCCTTGCCTTGTAAACTGAAAATATCAATGGGTATAATGGGACACAACTCCATCATAAGTTGAGGAGTGTACTGAATGTGTATCACTTTCATACCATTTTAATGTCAAGAAAACCTTAAATCAAACCAAGTTGGGGATGATCTTTCATAGGCAATGACTCCTGCAGCCTCAGGAAACAGTTACGTTCAAAACAATCCCAAGCCAGGCCTCATCCTCTGCTACAAGCTCTTGAAACTCATTATCTATAAGGTTTTACTCTATTCAGCAAGGCCATCAAAAAAGCCTTCAAATGAGTGTTCCACTACAACATAGCCTCATTCACAATGATCCAGTATTGCCAAAACAGCAAGCGTGACCTGATATGAGTCATGATGACAGAAGTTGAGTGGGCTTGTTTAGCAAGCAGTGATCACCAAAATCAAAATTACTAGGTCACTAGAAGTCAAGTGTATAACTTTAGTAATGATGTGCAAATTGCAAAGAGATCAACTCGTGGGGGTGATTGTGAAATTAATGTGGACATTCTAACTCTTGAGTCAGACTGCCTAGGTTCCTTTCCCGATTCCTCCCACTTACCAGCTGTGTGACAGTGCTTCAGTTCTCAAGACTATAAAATGGGGATAATGATATCTATTGCATAGACTTGCCACAAGGATTAAATGGGTTAATACATGTAAAGTGCTTACTATCTGCCTGGTGCATGGTAAATGTTAAATACATCAACGCTTTTGTTAGCTATCATCTTCCGTAGCAAAGGAGATAATAATTACAGATTGTACCACCAATGTGGGGTTTGTAGGCTACATTGCTCTTATTGACTGTGTGAGAGTCCACCTCCAGGTGTTCAAGCCCTGTAGTTTCTAACAGAATTCAAGCAACTTGGGGACCTGGTCAATTCAACTACCTTCTACAGAGGAACTTGTGACAGTTTTAAGAGAAGTGTTAATGCTGATGGCAACAAGCAACAACATTTATACTTTTATGCACAAATATTTGTAGAACTAGGTCTACTATGTACCAGGTATAATTCTGGGCACTGGGGATACAAAAGTATGCGAGACAAATGCTGTCCCTGCTGTCATATAACTTACCTAGTACAAGAGAGAGACAACAAACAAGAAATAAGAGTAGATAGTGGTAAGTGTTCTGAAGATAATAAAACAGGATAAGGTGAAGGTGATATGGGGGTTGGAACATTAGACAGGGTATTCAGGGACAGTCTCTTTGAGGAACTGGTATCTGAGCTGAGACCTGAATGATCAGAAGAAACTGACCACATGAAAGGGTGGAAGAACATTCCAAGCAGAAAGAAAATGAAATTTCAAAACTTGAAGTGCAAGCTAGCTCAGTGTATTTGAAGAAGAAGAGAGATGGCTAAGGGAGATGGATCACAGTGAATAGGGAGGAATACAGTAGGAAACGAGGACGCATATAGTTGGGGGCCTAATCATGCAAGGCTTTCAAGGCCAGGTTAAAGATCTTAAACTTTACTCTTAAGTACAATGAGTAGTACAACCAGCAAGTTTTGAGCAAGGCAGTGACATGATCAGATTTGTATTATTTTTAAAATGGGTCTGGCTGCTCTGTGGAGAATTCTCAAAGGGGCAAGAGTGAAAGAGGGGAGGCCAGTTATGTCTGCCATAAACCAAGTAAGAGAAGATGGTGACCTAAAGCAAGGTAATGGCAGTGCACATGAAGAAGTGGAGAGGCTGGGGACATATATAAGACATCAAGCTGACAAGAATTGCTAATAGACTGGAGGCAGAAGGGAGGTGTCTTCCTCAGAACAAGTATAAGGTAATGTGCACATTCATGAAAGCAGTCTCCCCCATGAAATGTGAAGCAATCAAATGCAACTGCTCAAGCCTGGTAGTCTTCCTATACAAGTATTGCTGTGAAGGAATACCCAGAAAGCACTCTTACTCCACCTGTGGGGTGATTATTAGAGACAGCAAATTGTTACCAACCTCAAAAACCACTACTATCTCTTGGCCATTCATCAAGATTACAACTTAATACTCTGGGTACTAATTTCTATATAGGAGGGCACAAGGAACAGGTTAGTTTCTGTGCCTTAAGGAGTCATCATGGACCTGGAATAACAGCACTGCTGCTAATTCAAGAAATTATGTAGTACAAGTATCTGAGTCTAGTGGGGCTTCTGGTGTGGATTTCCCACTCAAGGAAAAGGTTGTGGGCAGATGGACTGCCCTTTAGGAACTGCTGTCAATCTTGGAAGGCATAATCATCATGCTTAATCTAGAAAAAGCTGTCAAAAAAAACAACACATAGCCTTCAGAAAACTTGCTCCCAAAAAGTGCCTCCTTTTTATAAATCTTAGCCATTTATCTAGCTTCCTCTATTCTTGATGAGACTGTAGATGATACATTCAATATCTTTCAGTTTTTCCAGCTGTCCTTAAATTTAACCTTCTATAGGACAGTCACAGTAAAACTATGTATTGGATGACAAAAACAGATCTGTATTAGTAATTGTACCAGGGGTCCAGAATAAATTAGCACAAATTATAGACTACAAGTGATCACTCAATCTTTAAAACATAAAGCCTTCTAAAATACTGAGGGTCAACTTATATGTTTGGGTCAAACCCTAGCCTCCATATCTATGTTTCATAAGTACAGTGACCACCTGGTTTGTACAAGGGCCAGAACCACCGAACCAACTCAATGATTCCTCAATATAGCTTATCACAATGATGTCAATGGACATCATTTCAATGGAACTTTTGATGGAAAAGCACTGGTGTTTCCTGACTACTCTTTAAACACATCATAATTTAAACTAAGCTCTTAATAAAATTGCATTTTTCAGTCTGAACACCCATGCTATTTGCCCCATCTTTATTATCTGCCACAGAGATACCTAAGCAAATTCATTCAAAAATAGGTTTTTTAAATTCAAAAGAAAGCCTTTGGTTCAAACTTTTGGGGTGTAGCAAACTAGCCTACAGCAATCCTACTTAGAATCTCTATAAGATTTCTTTTGCTCAATCTCCTTTCTTGGGCTCTTTCTCTGGTTTAATGTCCTGTATGATATATATTCATTTTTGTTTTGAGTAATCCTTATTTAAATCATTGTTCCATTTTGCTGCCCAGTCTTGAAAATTCAAATTGTACAAATAACATAAAGGTAAAGAGACATCCATTTTGAATCCAGAAAGAATATACTTCTTTTACTTCTAATGCTCTTCATGGCTATGTTCAGGATTATGTTGGTTTTTCTGAATGTAGAAACAAAAATATCAAAAGTGAATGTCTTTAGGGAGCCCTACATAACAACTCCTAGATCTCTTTCATGGGTTGAAAAATGTACAGAGACCATCTTCTTAGAAACACGGCCACTCATGTCATTTTCCTGCTTTTTCACAGGGTCCTTGTGAAATAGTCCGTTAGCAAATACTCTTCAGCTTAGCATTTTATTTTACTATCTATAAGCTCTCAGCATCAACAATAAACTGGAAGGTGGGTTGGAAGTGTGTTACGATGCTGACTCTTAAATCATTTATAAAAATGTTAAAAAAAAAACACAAAAAACTAAACATTGATTCTTGGCAAAGCCTACTGTAAAAATCTCCCCATGCAAGTAAGAGCTCATATAAACCACCCCCTTCCTTCCATATTGTGTTTAAACTAGATCTTTATGCATGACTAAACATTATTCCCAACCCCATGGTGGGAGAACATTTATTTTTTAAAGCAGTCTTTGGTATAAAATCTTCTCAGAGGCTGTTTGGAAATTCAAATGTTCACTGGCTCCCCCTTGTTCATACCTTATTTACCCCTCTCAAAGAACTCTGTTAGATGGTTGAGATATAATTACCTCACAAAAACCATGTTCTTCCCTCCTGTGGGTTATATGTTCAAGAATTTCACCCTTTAGCTATTTTTCACAAAATTGACTGTCATGCCACGGTAATAGTTAGCCTTACTTCTCTGTGGTTTCTGGCCTGTTTCTTGAAACTTCAGAAGGAAAAAAAAAGAAAAAAACTATAGAATACTATATATTTCCTCTGATGAGAAAAAATATATATATTTCAATGCACAGCAAAAGATCAGGAAAGATACACCACAAACTGGCAAGAGCTATTACCTTCCGATAGAGGGTTAGGGGGCTAAGGATGAAATTGAGGAGGATAAATGCCTTAAGGGCACTCTGGCCTCATTTGTAATACTTCCATTTTTAATAGAGATTTTTTAATAATTAAAATTTAATTTAAAATAAAAATATCTCTCTCTGAGATGAGAGCCGGTGATAAAAGAAAGTTTAAGCCTTATTCTGAGTTATTCTTACATAGAATGCTCATACGTTTTACATAACAGTTATTTGCCATTTAATACCAAGATAATCTTCATACTTTTCAGAAGTTTTGGAGAGTTCTGAAATTAACACTATGGGAATACTAATTTGAAAAAATGGGCATTTATTTGAAATTAATACCTGTGTCTGACTACTGACCAAGAGTAAAGACAATTTTCCTCACTTGTAAGCATGGTTTTCTTTTGTAAAAAATTAGTTACAAAAAAAGAAAATGTCACTTTCAACTATACAAAATAAATTATACTGCCCAGTAATTTAAAAATTGTTTTCTAAGTTAGTACAGTCTTGGATTTTTTTTAAAAAATAAATTTACTTTAATAGGCTCTGACAAGAGTATAATGTTTGACTGTACAAAGCTGTGGCTGAAACTTGTAGTTAGTATCACCAGCTAGCTTCACGATTCCCATACGATTCCTGTATATGCAACTGTAAAAAAATACAAAACTCAGCAGCAAGGAATTTCCCATTTGTCCCATTTTAATTGAAGTTAAAAAGAATATGGGAATCCATGTAAATAGTTTCTGAGTAATGTGAAGTACTAAGTCTAATGAGATATTTTTCCTGCTTAAGTTTCAATTATTAAACTGCCACTTCAATTACTTGTTTACAAACTCGAGAAACATTCACTAAAGCAACTTAATATCTTTACAGTATATTATTCAGATAATTGCGTATATCTGGAGTATAATCTAATTCTTTGATGTTATTAACCCCAAACAACAGACATTTAAATCAATATAACTCTAATTGAGTATATTATATCCAACGAGTCAGATTTTACTGAAAGAGAGCATACCAACATGTACTGAATTTCAACTTTGCCCTGGTGACATCAAATTGCACTACAGATAAACTAAGAGTTGTCAAAATTTTTGGCTGGTAGCCCCCCTTCTACATATGCTTTACAAAAGCAATTTTGGTTCCTATCAAGGTACAAATCAGCAGTTGTAATTTTCTTAATCATAGCTGCAAAACAGTATGACCCACTAATAGCCGAACTTTTGACAGCACTATTCAAGATGATTTATGAGTTTGTATATAATTTGATTATTCTATTAATTCTTCTGATTACTGCTTCAGCTAATAAAGTGAAGGTCACTTCCAAAATAAATCTTCATTTCACAGAAAGTAACTGCATCCAACTAGTTTTCTTTAATTAAAAACTAATCTGTATAACAAGAAAGAAGACAGGCTTCAGGGTTAGGGAACCTGTTAAGAGAGAAATATACTGTGTGGACACAATGAAAGTGTCTCTTTATTCAGTATCTTTATTGTCAAAACATAAGAACTATTATATACATATGCATTCGTACTAATTTTAAATTATAAAAATAGGGCCGGGCGCGGTGGCTCAGGCCTGTAGTCCCAGCACTTTGGGAGGCCGAGGCAGGCAGATAATCTGAGGTCAGGAGTTTGAGACCATCCTGGCCAACATGGTGAAACCCCATCTCTACTAAAAATACAAAAATTAGCTGGGCATGGTGGCGGGCGCCTGCAGTCCCAGCTACTCGAGAGGCTGAGGCAGGAGAATCTCTTGAACCCAAGAGGCAGAGGTTGCAGTGAGCCGAGATCGCGCCACTGCACTACAGCCTGGCTACAGAGCAAGACTCCGTTTCAAAAAAATAAATAAATAAAATAAAAAATTATAATAACTGAACTGTATTAATGCTTTAGAAACTGAAAACATAAAAGAATCTTTGAAAATAGCTTCCAAATTCATAAGTGCAATATGTAAGGCAATGTTTTCATTTCTAAAATTATGCATGTGGGATTCTATATATGAAAAATGAACAGTAGGTCTTTGCCTTAACCGGAGTTTTTCCTAAAGGTGACAAGAGGCCATTTCTGCCCCTTAAGATAAACACTGGGCACAAGGCCATGACAGGCTGGAGGGAGATCAGAGAAAAAATGTCAAGGGACATTGATATATTATTATTATTTAATCTATTTTTACACACAGAACATTCTGTGTCCTGAATTTAATGCTTCATTTTATTATGTTTTTTAAAGTTCCCCAGCCCTTCAGCTAAGGTTCTATCATCAAAGCTGTTGAGTCATACAACTATATAAAAGCAATAAAGCAAATTAAATATGATGCATATTTTCCAAAAGAAGTAAAAAGTCTCAAACTCAGAAAATCATATACCAAAAGACAGAAAGCTTGAACGTAAGAAATTAGGGAAGCACAGTGATACATCAAAAAAGCAAGCAGCAATGATGTGTATGCTCACCAATGGCCTCCATTGGTATTGTCACAAACACACTCCTGATTAACTCCCTCACTCAACCTTTCCGCATATCAAAAGATCCTCTGACACTCACAGTTCCTTCTGACTAGAGAGCTCTTCCCTCAAATATTCAAAAACTCATCCATTCCCATCATATTCTGGTATCATTACACACTCAAATGCCACCCTCCTTAGTGGCCTTCATTGACCATTATGCCCTCTAAAGAGGAATTCCTCCCTGTTCCTGCCAACTGTCACTCCCTGGCCTGTCTATTACCCTATTTGCTTTTTTTCTTTTCTTCACAGCACATTCATTCTCTCAAATTGTATTTGTCTACTGTCTCTCTGGGAAGAGCCTTCAACATCTTCCACAACCAGAGAGTTTCTGTTTTCAGCAGTGTATTCCAAATGTCTACAAAAGAGCTGGGATCAATACATTCAGTATATATTTACTAAATGAATCCTAATTTTTATTCTAAATACGCATAAGATAAAACAGCCCGAATTTATAGTCAATTCCTCCCTTAACTTTTCATTTAATAAAATATTAGTTTTAGCTCTTTTTATTCTAAATATGCATATGATAAAACAGCCCGAATTTATAGTCAATTCCTCCCTTTTCATTTAATATTAGTTTTAGGTCTTTGGTAAGAAATTCCATAACCAGGCCAGGTGTGGTGGCTCATGCCTGTAATCCCAGCACTTTGGGAGGGCAAGACAGACGGATCACTTGAGGTCAGGAGTTCGAGACCAGCCTGGCCAACATGGTAAAACGCTGTCTCTACTAATAATACAAAAATTAGCCAGGTGTGGTGGCATGCACCTGTAGTCCCAGCTACTTGGGAGGCTGAGGCATAAGAATCCCTTGAACCAGGGAGGCAGAGGTTGCAGTGAGCCGAGATCATGCCATTGCACTCCAGCCTGGGCGACAGAGACTCTGTCTCAAAATAGAAAATAAAAAAAATAAGTTTTTTAAAAAAGAAAGAAATTCCATAACCATTAAACCATACCTAACATGCCTTAAAGTGTGTCTGTGTATGCATACATAGACAAAACTCATATGGCTATCAAAGAATGTTAGAAATTCACTAAGGTACTGGTAGTAACAGACACATGAACCACTCCTACTCTCACGAGGTCCCTCTTGTGACCAAGAGTACGTACTTGCAAGACAGGTTTAGGGCCTCAATCTTTGGACAGGGAAGCAGTCTGTTTTCAAAGAGGACATAGTCAATGGGTAGAAGAAAATTAGATCAAAACTAGTACAAGTCCCCAAGGTCAAAGTTCCTATTTAAATTTCTTTTACAGTTTTGTTTTTAAAAAACCTCTGACGTAGAAAAGGCTGATTTTATTGAAATGTCTAGTTTCTAATTTAACATCATAACTGGCACGCTTTAGTCTTGCAAAAAGTAGCATATAAACATATATACTGTTTTCTATTCCTACATTCTAGGGAAAAATGCCTCAACTTTGATGGATGGGCCTCTGAAATCCACTCTCTTATTCCCAGTCCTCACAGAAACTTTGTGATAATACTATTTTTAAAAAACACACAAAGAGACAGAGAGACGCTTTCCCATAACTTAATTTCTCCAACTTATGGATTCAAGTTTATTATGTCTTGTAACCTTCCCCTCATGAGAAATTCAAGTCTTTATCGAGTTATTTGTAGGAGGATCAGAATTTCTTCCTTTGCCAATAAATCATGTAAATATTAAAAAGGCAAAACATATTTGCAACACTGGAAGCCACAGAAGAGCGAAAAAAGCCTGAGAATTTTCAAACTTTAACAACAAACATGTTTACAAAATGATACCATATTGAGCAATATGAAAGAGCTCTTTTTAGTTTTCAAGTATTCTAGTAGTATTGACACTGCATAAATTAAGGCGGGGATACTAAGTAACAGGATGGTCAAAGTAAAGACAAGCCTATACAAGCCATTTTTAAAACAAACCAAAATGAATCAAGGTAATTCTGATAAAAATAATTATTAATTTAAATTTTATGTTCTTAATACCTTCTTTCCTATCCAAATTCCTAATCATAGGCATGCATTATTTTCATAAGACAAAAATACTTTATTTCAGGGGAAAAAACGGTCAACTTGCTATGAGGCACAACCAAAAACAGAACAGCAGTAAGTTAGGGAAAAAAAATAGCAAAAAAATAAACAGAACGCTATCCTTACCTAATATATGCACTGCCAAAAATAGACCAGTTCGATTTGCTTTATGGAACTAAAAATGCGTAAAAATCCAGACCCACAAAGAGATATAGTTCACATATCTTAGATACTATTTTTTCATCCAAACAAGAAATCTAAAATTGTGTTTTCTTTTTTCCTTAAAACATAAGGAAACACACATATCAGTTGTCAATAAGCCAAATTCCACCTAACAAGATCAATAAAAGCTATCACTCCTAGATGATTTACGGATCTACTATGAATTTCATGCTTCGTTTTATAATATAGTGGTCTTAACCTTGATGGTCTGAGAGGCAGTATTGTACCCCAATCCCATAGGAGAAAAAAATGGTGTCACAGTGGGACCCATGCAGAGACTACAGCCTCTCATCTATGCCAAAGCCTGTAAAAACTCTAGGTACATCCCTGGGAATGAGTCACATGTGAAAACGCATCCACCATGTATGCTGACATATAAATGGGTTTAAAGAACTAATGATTATTTAAGTATTCAATTCTTAGCAGAACAAGAGGGCATCCTGCCAGAGAGGACCTCAAAGTACCTTGCACTATGCTTTTGTGCTTTGCTGCTTTCAGTGTCCTCATTTTTACTAGCTTGATTTCTGATAGTATCTTTTCCTCATGCCATTTCAACATACAAACAATATGCTCCAAACTGACATTAAGGAATTAAACTCAATTTAATCTGGCAAACTTAGCTTTGTATCACTATAGAAAATATCCCTACTTATGGAGATATGTCACCCATAGCTCCTTTGATATCTTCCAGGGGGAGCAAACTGCACAGAAGCTCTAATTTAATCTGCAAGGTTGACAGATTCGTATTTCTTAACCTCACTATATAAGGGTACTTCTAAAACCTTTCCGAATGCAATAGGCCAATTTTATTAGTACATTTCTAGTATTAAGACTATCTCTCTAAAGAATGGCTAAAGTGAACAGCAGAAATATTTGGTTTGTTCAATTGGCTGTGAATATTAACAAGCATCAATGTGTTTATTAGGGCCTTAAAATACCATTTCCAAAGTTTACATGTCCAAGGAAAATTATTTTCTACCCCAGTAACTATTCAGAAATAAAGCAATATTTCTTTTCTCATATAAATTGTGATATTATTAAATCTCTATTATAAAACAGAAACTGCACTGGACATGAGTAGTGCAGTCTCATCGTGGCTAGAATACTGAACATATAAAAACATATGACAAAACACTTCTGAGTCGCACTTGATTTATCTGTACAATACAGTGATTGCCTTAGTTTGCAGACCTTAAAGAGCCCATTTCAAACATTAAAACTTTCATGTCCTAATTGGACATTAAACAGCACTTTTTATTTCTCCTTTTGGAGCACAAAGAAAACTAATGCTTGTTTTCGTCTGTATATTCTAGGAAAGAAGTACATCATAGCATACACTACTGCCCCACCACAATGCATGGAAAGAGTGAGGCCTAACCTCACAAAAAAAGACAAGCAAGAAAGTTAATTCAGTGAGGGACAAGCAGGTGCTACACAAGATATGTGACAGTAGCAGCTCTGCTCTTGGTACATTTACACTTGTTATAGGATCACTACAGCCTGGCAGTTAAGTGTTGATTATGAAAACATCATGGAAGGTAGAAACACTCCAATCAGAAGTCTGTCTCTCAATTTGTTAGGCATTTGAGACCAGCCTACTATACCTAAGAACCTAAACTCAAAGCCAGGCACAGTGGTGTGCTTGTAGTCCCAGTTACTTGGGAGGCTAAGGCAGGAGGATCCCTTGAGCTCAGGAGTTTGAGGCTGCAGTGCACCAAGATCGCACCTCTGAAGAGCCATTGCACTCCAGCATGGGATTTAGTGAGACTCTGTCTCAAAAAATAAAATAAAATAAATAAATAAGAAAAAAAATCTGAATTCATATATTCACAACTTAACACAGTTTGGAAATTATTTTAACTAACAATGGCTCATATAGTGCTGATCATGTGCCAGATATTATTCTAAGAGCTTTGCAAATATCAATTTCCTAATCCTCATAATAACCCCATGATATAGGTACTATTCCTTTTTTATAAAGGAAGAAATTGTAAAACAGAGAGGTTAAACAGTAGGATTCTAACTCAGAAAGTCTGGCTTCAAAGTCTGTGCTCTTGACCACCACACTATGCCTATATACACTTTGCAGACTTTTATAATACAAGAAGTTAAAACACAAAGTTAGGATCAAAGCTAATTATTTGTTCAATAAATGTGTGCTATTTAAAAGGGTTATTTTAGAGTTAATTTCTCCTTTAAATACACCTGAAGAATAAGATTCTATGCAGATAGGACCACAATTAAAGACTGTGGGGATCGAGAAGGAATATTTTACATTCTAATAGAGTGAAAAGAGATTTACTTAAGAAAAACAGCCACACAGAATCATTTTTCTTTTAAAAACTGCAGATGGAAAAGCAAAACATTTAATAGGGATGGCTGTTTACAAACACGTGTGTATCTGCATGGCAAAATTTAATTTCTATGAAATAAATGAAGGATGCATATTATAAAATATAGGTTTATTAAATTCAAGTGTTGTCACTCAGTACATGAATTCAAGATTGCAGGAGTCATTTACAAAATGGTTGAAATTAGCTTTTTTTTTTTTTTTCTTTGAGACGGAGTCTCGCTCTGTTGCCCAGGCTGGAGTGCAGTAGCGCAATCTCGGCTCACTGCAACCTCCGCCTCCTGGGTTCACGCCATTCTCCTGCCTCAGCCTCCTGAGTAGCTGGGACTACAAAGGCCTGCCACTACACCAGTTTAATTTTTTGTATTTTTAGTAGAGACAGGGTTTCACTGTGTTACGCAGGATGGTCTCGATCTCCTGACCTTGTGATCTGCCCACCTTGGCCTCCCAAAGTGCTGGAATTACAGGCATGAGCCACTGCGCTCAGCCTTTTTTTTTTTTTTTTTTTTTTTTTTAGGGCACATGTGCACAATGTGCAGGTTTGTTACATATGTATACATGTGCCATGGTGGTGTGCTGCATCCATCAACACATCGTTTACATTAGGTATTTCTCCTAATGTTATCCCTCCCCCCTCCCCCCACCCCATGACAGGTCCTGGTGTGATGTTCCCCATCCTGTGTCCATCCTGTGTCCAAGTGTTCTCATTGCTCAATTCCCACCTATGAGTGAGAACATGTGGTGTTTGGTTTTCTGTCCTTGCGATAGTTTGCTCAGAATGATGGTTTCCAGCTTCACTGATGTCCCTACAAAGGACATGAACTCATCCTTTTTTATGGCTGCATAGTATTCCACGGTGTATATGTGCCACATTTCCTTAATCCAGTCTATCACTGATGGACATTTGGGTTGGTTCCAAGTTTTGCTATTGTGAATAGTGCCACAATAAACATATGTGTCCATGTGTCTTTATAGCAGCATGATTTATAATCCTTTGGGTATATACCCAGTAATGTTTGGTTTCTTGAGTAGGTATAATAAGAAGGTAATATACCTTCTTGTTCATGGTATTCATTTGATCATCAAACTGTTTACATACAGAGTAGGAGGTAAAAACATTAAAATTGTTATGAATGTTTTGTTATAAATTCTAATTTGGTGAGATTAAAATCAGAGAAGTTTTACCAAATAAAACTGTCTTAGTCTGTTTGCACTGATATAAAGGAATACCTCAGGCTGAGTAATTTATAAAGCAGTTTATTTGGCTCCCAGTTCCACAGGCTGTTCAAGAAACATGGTGCCAGCATCTGCTTCTGGTGAGAGCTTCAGGAAGTTTCCAATAATGGTGGAAGGCAAAGAGGGAGTAGATGTGTCACACAGTAAAAGAGGACGAAGCAAGGGAGGGAGGAGAGGAGGCCAGGTTCTTTAACACTTTCCATGTGAAATAGAGTGAGAACTCACTTACGACCTCAAGGATCGCACCAAGCCATTCATAAGGAATCCACCCCCATGTCCCTAACACTTCCCACTAGGTCCCAACTCCAACACTGGGGGATCAAATTTCAACATGAGATTTGGAGGAGATAAATATCTAAACCATGTCAACAGCCATCCATCGCTTAACAACAGGTCTGAGAAATGCACCATTAGGCAATTTCATTGTTGTGTGACCATCATAGAGTGTACTTAACAAACCTAGCTGACATGACCTATGACATGCCTAGGCTATATGCTATATAGCCTATTGTTCCTAGGCTACAAACCTGTGCAATGTGTGACTGTACTGAATACCATAGACAAACGTAACACAATGGTATTTGTGTATCTGAACATATCTCAACAACATAGAAAAGGTACAGTCAAAATACAGTAATAGAATCTTATAGGAACACCATCATATATGTGGTCTGTTGTTGACTGAAATGTCACTATGCAGCACATGACTGTAAAAATATTTGTCAAAACTTTCATACTATTTTATTATATTAAGCAAGCGTGAATCTACTGCCTAATTTGGAGGGAGGGCAGAGGATGGAGCATGAAGAGATCCAGAAATAAAAACGAGGAAGAGTAAAAGCTACATTAATTATTTCAGTCCTAACAGAGTTCTTTTTACAAATTATTTCTCTAGTACATGAAAGGAAAAGTTTCTGTCCCATAATATTTAATTTCTTTTTATGGTAATTGCTAATTAAATTTTAAAAAGTCAATTTACTAAGCACCTACTATGTGCCTACCAAAGTTCTAGGCAATTAACTGTGTATGAGTAAAACACAGAATTTGATAAGAAAAAATTATGGAGTACCCATTTTGTAGAAGGCAATATGCTCAGAACTATGGGAGAGATGAAGATGACTTTTATAAAGCAAATACATCTATCAACAGACATAAATTATTAGCTAATTTAATTACATAATTAAATGTTAATACCAAATCTAGTTTGTATAAACTGAATCATCTATAATATATAAATTAATCTTTCAGTAATCACCAAAACATTCATTCTAAACATCAAGACCGCAAAGTCATGCAACTTTTATGTAATAATACTCTGCATTAGTGTGGGATAAAATTCAACACTCTTTTCTTTACATTATCACATACAAGTCTCAAAGTAGCCAAAGGTAGGAGGTAAGACTAGATTATGGCCTTTTCCATAATACAGGTAAGACAACTGAGGCTTTGGGAATTTAAATGACATGTTCAAGTCCACCTAAATAACAACATGACAAAGTTAGAATCAAAACCCATTTCTGAGATTGATACTTCTGTAGCACATGGAAAACCTTACAAAGTTCATAAGATGTAACAAAGATTTTATAAAAAGACTCAGTTTTTGAGTATTCCCTTCCAAAGTAGAAGGTAAACTGATGAAGAATCAGAAATAAATAGCTTTGCTACAATTTATACCAATCACATTAATTGGATTATTTTAATCTAGAACAAAAACAAATTTACACTGGGGAATAGTAGAGAACACACGGAAACCCAGCAAGTAAAGCCTTAGATCTGGCTGCCTTTGTTTTGTTTGTTTTTGTTTTGTGTTATACTTTTTATTGAATGGCAATCTTAAATTTAGCTAGCAAATAAACACATTTCACATACTATTTCTATCACAACTGGGTAACAGTATACTGGTTCCAGAGATGGGTCAAGAATTATCTTGAACAATCTTTAAAAAATTAGTCTGTGCAGGCCGGGTGCAGTGGCTCACGCCTGTAATCCCAGCACTTTGGGAGGCTGAGGCAGGTGGATCATGAGGTCAAGAGATCAAGACCATCCTGCCTAACACAGTGAAACCCCGTCTCTACTAAAAATACAAAAAATTAGCCGGGTGTGGTTGCGGGCGCCTGTAGTCCCAGCTACTCAGGAGGCTGAGGCAGGAGAATCACTTGAACCCGGGAGGCGGAGGCTGCAGTGAGCCAAGATTGCGCCACTACACTCCAGCCTGGTGACAGAGTGAGACTCCGTCAAAAAAAAAAAAAAAAAAACAGTCTGTGTAATAATACTATCTTTCAGTTTAATCAAACTAAGATTTCAGCTCCAAACACTTGCCTTAATTCAAATATCAGCCTTGCCCTATTATGAGTCAACCACCTTTTATTCTCATACAAACTATTAAAATTATTTTAAGAGCTGGAATAGTATACATATATAACATACAGAGAAAACTGGACTGGGTAAGTTTTGTATCTACCTATGAGGGTAATCTAGTATCTAAGTTAGTTAGCACTGAAGGGGGCTATTATTAAAATGGAAAATCAGGCTGGGCATGGTGGCTCACGTCTCAAGCCTGTAATCCCACCACTTTGGGAGGCTGAGGTGGGCAGACCACTTGAGGTCAGGAGTGCGAGACCAGCCTGGGCAACATGGTGAAACCCCACCTCCACTAAAAATACAAAAATTAGCATGGTGTGGTAGTGCACACCTGTAATCCCAGCTACTCAGGAAGCTGAGGCAGGAGAATCAGTTGAATCCCTGAGGCAGAGGTTGCAGTGAGTCGAGATCCTGCCACTGCACTGCAGCCTGGGAAACAGAGCAAGACTGTCTCAAAAAAAAAAAAAAAAGGAAATTAAACTGTATCCACACCATAGGAAAGGTTTAAAAAAGAAGGAAATCAAACTCTATAATCTATATAGCCAATGTAATTCCAATATACTCATGAGAGTCACAATAATTCCTCCACAAAATATACTTAAATGTAAGTTTTAAAAGAGGTTATTCCCAAATGGGAAATATTTTTCTGTCAAAACGTAAGGAATAATGCAGGCAAGGACACAAAAGCATTCCATTGCTTTATTAACGACAATGTTCACTGATCTGTGAATAACCTGGAAAAAAATGAAGATTATTGAGTTACTTTACCAATATATCCATCCATCACCAGAGAACAGGTTTCAAAATGATGGATTATCTCACCACCCCCTTCTGTTTATCCCAAGAAACACTCTTTCCTCAAGGGAAAAACAAATAATTGATCATACAAACATAATCATGTATCATCTCCATGCTAATATAAACTATCAACTAGAGAGGAAATTGTCTTTAAAATCATATACAAATTATTCTGAAAATAAAGTATGTTGCTGTGCTTATTTTATCCTCCAAAATTCCATAGTTTATAAGAATTCTATTCAAACAGCAACCTTCAAACTTTTGGGATAGAAGCTTTTTGTCAATCTACTGCACACTACTCTTCTAATTTAGTAAAGACAGTTCTCAATTGAGATAGTATATCTCAGTGGTTCCTAATCTTTTTTTTTTTTTTTTGGTGGTGGGGTTGCAGGGGGCAGTCACACACTCCTCTGAGACACTAATAGAGACACTATGAACTTCCTTCCTAGAAAAATGTAGCTATGCACATTATACGCACAATATTTGGCATGCAATTTCAGGGTATTTACCCCCTAAATTCCTGAAACCCAAGTAACTGATTACAAACATTGCATATCAGTTTAAGGCCTCCTGAATTTAAAGACCTCCTCTTAATCTAGCCAGCCTTCCGTTGCTATTTTAAGCTGATATATGTGTGTGTGTGTGTGTTTTTAATGATGGCTGTAAGTCTGCTTATTCTATAGTTGAAGATGCCCAAATACAAAAAATATTGAGATTATAACCATGCGCCACATAACAATATTTCAGAGAATAATGGACCACATATATGAGGAAAGTCCCATAAGATTCTAATACTGTATTTTTACTGTACCTTTCCTATGCTTACGTATGTTTAGATACACAAATACTTATCATTATGTTACACAATTGCCTACAGTATTCAGTGCAGTCACACGCTGTACAGGTTTGTAGCCAAGAAGCAATAGGCTATATCATACAGTCTAGGCATATAGTAGGTTGTATCATCTAGGTTTGTGTAAGAACACTTTATGATGTTTGCACAACTATGGAATCACCTAATGATGCATTTCTCAGAATGTATCCCTGTTGTTAAGTGATGCACAAAGCTATATACTTTTTTAAATGTGTGGACTAAAAAATGTAGAAGAAAATACACCAAAATATTCAGTGTGCTATTGTTAACAGGTGATGGGATTTCAGTTAATTCTTGTAACAAAAAATAATACTTATGTTATTTTCTAAAATTTCTAGATATGAGATATTTCTTCCATATCAAAGACATAATTTTAATGCTTACACCAACAAGGAAAGTGATTAAATTATGGCATATACATCCTCATACCAGACAATACAGCCATCTAAATTTCTTTAAAGTATGCATATATGTACTCATTTATACACAGTTACCTGTACAAGCATGTAAAATGTAGGAAGACATGCAACCAACTTAACAATGATTAAGGGTGGAATATGAAGGTGTGGAATGGTGCTTCTATTTCTTTATAAAATTGAGGAGGATATGCGTATGTGCACATTATTCCCCCCATATTCTTATTCTTTTTCTAACTACTAAGATATGGTATACAAGAATTTGCTCATCAATGGCTACTCAGTATCTCCTATATGCTTTGGCACCTTGCTAAATAACCCTCACAAATTAGCCCATTGGTTCAAATGCCAACACATCTAAAACTGTCCTGTTCCTTAAATAGATTTTACTTTGTGCCAGACTACAGAATCAAAACATGAGTAATAAGATTCAAAGAAAGGACTGCAAGAAAATTTTATTCCTCCTGCCTCTATTAGTCCATTTTCACACTACTATAAAGAACTACCTGAGACTGGGTAATTTATGAAGGAGTTTTAACTGTCTCACAGTTCTTCAGGCTATACAGAGAGCATGGCTGGGAGGCCTCAGGAAACTTTACAACCATGGCAGAAGGTGATGGGGAACAAGCACGTCTTACCATGACGAAGCAGGAAAGAGAGAGCAAAGGGGGAAGTGCTACACACTTTTAAACACTGTTGTAATGTCTTACAAACTCACTCACTATCACAAGAACAGCAAGGGGGAAATCTGCCCTCATCCAATCACCTCCTACCAGGTCCCTCCCCCAACACTGGGAATTACAATTTGACATGAGATTTGAGTGGGGACACAGAGCCAAACGACATCACTGCCTTTCAACATTGAACTAGTTTGAGGTTACTTGTTAAAGAGAAAGAAAATCATATATTTATCATATTATTGTAAAGACTACAACAATTCAATATATACTGAGTTGGAGCAAACCAGTATTTTTCAAGCGGTTATGGTTCTGCCTCTATAGGGCATTTGGCAATGTTTAGAGACATTTTTGTCTGTCACAAGTGGGTTGGGTGAAGGTAGTGGCATCTAGTGGGTAGAATCCAGGTATGTTGCTAACATTTTACAATGCACAAGACAGCCCTTTCCCCAACACAGAGAAAATTATCCTGGCAAAAAAAAAAAATGTAAATAGTGCTGAGATTGAGAAACTCTGGTCTAAACCATGAGTCTCTGAAACAATTTAGTATCTCAAACATATACGCACCATGTTAAAGATAGGTATGAACAGACTACTGATGGTTATTGGCTTAGAGTGGAGCCCAATCTTGTTGCTCTTTTCTGAGAATGGATGGGTTAACAGTAATCTGAGATTCCTATAACTTCAGCAAAGTAGTCAGCCTACTTTGATTAGTTTCATGTCATAACTGTTTAGGCCCCTTCTGATCATGCATTCATACCTCTACTGAAAATTTTGGAACCCGATAAAATCCATTTTCTAATTCTCTAATTGGTCCATAAGTGCATACCATCTGTCTTTAACTAGATGCTTCTTGACATTGATATCAAGGTCTATGTCATATTCTTTTTCATATACTGTACATCCACTATACCTAGAAGAGTATTATGCAGAGAATAGATGCTTTAAAAAGTTGTTGTTGAATTAAATGGAAAGAAATGAAAAAAATTACATTTACAATAAAGACACAGATGCTTCTTCAAAAGATTTTGGTCATTTTAACTAAACCCTTTCTTTCTTGTTCATTAGAATTAGGCCCAGAGAACAATTCTTGTGATTGCTTCTTCTACAGCAGTGTTCCCTAGACCAGCAGCATGAGCAACACCTGGGAATTTGTTAAAATTTCACATTCTCATGCTCCACCCAGATCTACAAGTAAGAAATGCTGGAGATGGAACTCAGTAATGTTAATTTCTGACACACCTGAAAGCTTGGAAAAACACTGCTCTATCGTTTCCTTAACATACAATTTCCTCAGTTATACATCATCTGCTATTCATTCATTAATCCATCAAATACTTAGTGCATGACTAATATACACTAGGCATTGCATTGAGACATTCCTGTATAATCTCTTAATACTGGGGTTTTTTAAAATTATCAATTTTTGGAAAAAAAGACTATTCAACTGAAGTTGGAAAAACCTGCCACCTATTTTTAGAAATAAATTTTTTAGAATACAGCCATATCCATTTGTTAACATATTGTCTATGGCTACAAAAGGTTTCAATGGAGACCACGCGGCCTGCAATACCTAAACTATGTACTATAATATTTGTCTATTTACGAAAAAAAAAATCGCTGATTCCTAACTTAGATTACTAAATCTAGCTAAGTCTCTAACTGCCTCATATTTTCCCTGCTGGCATTCTGTAACAGCAGCAGCAGCAGCAGCAATGGTTAAAAACAATCACAGTAACAACAGTAATAGTAATAACAGCTAACACTTATCTAGTACTTGGGCAAGCAATATTAAAAGCACTTTCTTCTACATGTTAGCTCATTTTAATCCTCACAACCTATGAGGTATGTACTATTATCCCACCAAAAATGATGAGCACAGAGAAGTTAAATAATTTGCCCAATGATACACAGTTAATAAATAGCAGAATCAGGAGATGATCCCATTGGTCTGGCTCCAAAATATACTTTCTTATTCACTATTCTACACTTATAATATTTCTGTCCCATATGACTAAGGCATAGATATCATCTGCTTGCATGTTATATGAAGAGGTGCCTATATATCATAGTACTAACGGCAACATTTTCCAACTTTTCCCCTTCCCTTAGCCCCCAACCCCCAACCCCCAACCCCAAGTCTTTAAATCCCAGAAGCACTCTTGTATTCACTCTTTAGGACCTCTTCCTTTTATAAGGTCTTAAGGAATGTTTATCTGAGTTTAAAAAAATAATAAAAATTCCTAACAACGGTTCTCAATCCTTGTTTTTAAGTCATGGATGCCTGTGAAATGTGATGAAACTATGGACTTCTTTTATGAAGAAACATAAAACATTTTGTAAATAAATTTCAAGGTCTTATGGATGCTAGATCAAGAACATTTCGCATATCTCAATGCAGTTCTCCTCAGCTGCAGTGCTGCAAAAGGATAGTATGTTGTGATTCAATAATCGAGCTTCACACACACACATCTGGACTAGTCAAATCTACCCATTTGACGCAGGGTCAGTTTCTGCACCTAGATTTAGCTATATCACGTGGCTCTATGACACTGTGGGAGGAAACCAATGGGGATGGGGACATGAAACAGGTCAATGTTTTCTTTTTTTTTTTTATATATATATACTTTAAGTTTTAGGGTACATGTGCACAACATGCAGGTTTGTTGCATATGTATACATGTGCCATGTTGGTGTGCTGCACCCATTAACTCATCATTTAACATTAGGTATATCTCTTAATGCTATCCCTCCCCCCTCCCCTCACCCCTCAACAGGCCCTGGTGTGTGATGTTCCCCTTCCTGTGTCCCTGTGTTCTCATTGTTCAATTCCCACCTATGAGTGAGAACATGCAGTGTTTGGTTTTTTGTCCTTGTGATAGTTTGCTGAGAACGATGGTTTCCAGCTTCATAAATTGACAAATGAGATCTAATTAAACTAAAGAGCTTCTGCACAGCAAAAGAAACTACCATCAGAGTGAACAGGCAACCTACAGAATGGGAGAAAATTTTTGCAATCTACTCATCTGACAAAGGGCTAATATCCAGAATCTACAATGAACTCAAACTACAATGAACTCAAACAAATTTACAAGAAAAAAACAACCCCATCAAAAAGTGGGCAAAGGATATGAACAGACACTTCTCAAAAGAAGACATTTATGCAGCCAAAAGACACATGAAAAAATGCTAACTATTCTAACCGCTACTGGGCTCCTCAGCATTAATGCTTATCGAATGCACAAATTCAAGTTATAGGGGTAAGGAGGAGATAATTTGCTCATGGCTTGTTTTTCCTTTTACCTTTATCAATTAATTAAAATATAGAAAGTTGAAATAAATTCTTTATTTATCTAAACTGGCATTTTGTATTGGGCACAGAATTGGAACATGTTTCTAGAATACTGTAAGAATGCCCCGTATTCTCTCCAACTTTTTCTGGAAGCTGAATATGCATCCATAATGAGAAAATAATTAAGTCATAGCAAATTACAAGTTGTTAAAAATTAAGAAATACCACAAATATAACAAGTTCCAGAAAATAACACAATATTTTTGCAAATTATGTCTTAATTATTTTCAAAAAAGTTGTTTAAAAATATAATAGGTGAGTCAAGAAAAATGCATATTAGAAAATCTGGTTTCTAGCCTCAGCCTTTTTATCTTAACTTTGTTCATTTGTAAAAATTAGACAACCAGTCAAAACAATATAAAAGAGTTCTATCAACTTTAATTTTTTTTGTACTGCTACCAGAATAGTAGGTAGATTTTTACAAGAAAAGAGGTTAAGGAGAATACTATGGAAGAAAAAAAAAATAATGTACTGTTGAAGAATCTACATCTATAATCTAACTCCAACTTGTTAAGGTAGAGGAGCAACAACATCGGGGGCAGACACTAAAATTCCATCTCAATGTTGCTCTGACTTCACATGCAGTTGAATATATAAACTCTTTAAATTTTCCAACAGTATACTCCTTGGCCAATTTTAAGACTTCTCTTGGTTTTCTAATAGGTTGATCCAGGATAGGAAATGTTTCTTAGATTTCTGAAAACTCTCTGTAGAAAAACACAATGGTTATCATAGAATAAAATAAGGTAGTTCCTTTGGTCTAAGAGATGCTTTATCTTATGATTTATCCAAAGAGAACTAAAAAACACTCCGTAAAATGTATTGACTCTGCAATGAAGAAGGGGATTTTTAAAAGCAGGGGGAAAAGAAAAAACAATATAAAATACCTTACAGTCTATATAAATGCACAAATTCCATGGTTATGACAAAATCACAGTAGCATGTTGTCCCATTTTGGGCATAGTCCTGTCATCACTGAATAAGTTCATTAAATGGGAGATTCCTTTTCCATTCCCTCCATGTTGCTCCTATAATTTTGAGCAAGCTGCTTAAAGATACATATATCCATTTATATATTTGTAACTTTTGGCCTTCTCTAAATCTCTTTTTAAAAGCTGTAAGTTAGACAGCTGCTGGTGAGGCTGCAGAGAAAAGGGAAGCTTATACACTGCTGGTGGGTATGTAAATTAGCTCAGCCACTAAGAAAAGCAGTTTGGTGATTTCTCAAAGAACTTAAAACAGAACTACCATATGACCTAGCAATCCCATTATTGGTTACATACACAAAGGAATACAAATCATTCTACCATAAAAACACATGTCCCAGTATGTTCACTGCAGGACTATTTACAATAGCAAAGATATGGAATCAACCCAAATGCTCATCAATGGAAGACCTGACAAGGAAAACGTGGTACATCTACACCATGGAATACTATGCAGCCATAAAAAGGAACGAGATCATGTCCTTTGCAGGAACATGGATGGAGTTGGAGGACATTATCCTTAGCAAACTAACGCAGGAAGAGAAAACCAAATGCCACATGTTCTCACTTATAAGTGGGAGCTAAATGACAGGAACACATGGACACATAGAGGGAAAAAATAGATGCTGGGACGTACCTGAAGGTGCAGGATGGGAGAAGGGTGAGGACTGAGAAACTAGAAAAACTACCTATCAGGTACTATGCTTATTACCTGGCTAACAATATGTACACCAAAGCCCCGTGATATAGTTTACATATTTGTCCCTGTCGAAATCTCAAGTTGAATTGTAATCCCCAGTACTGGTGGTAGGGCCTGGTGGGAAGTGACTGAATCATGAGTGTGGATTTCTCATGAATGGTTTAGCATCATCCTCTTGGTGCTGTTCTCACTATAGTGAGTTCTCACAAGATCTGGTTGTATAAAAATGTGTGGCATCTCCCTCTCTCTCTCTCTCTCGTTCCTGCTCTTGCCATGTGATGTGCCTGCTCCACCTTCAGCTTCTGTCATAATTGTAAGCTTCCTGAGGCCTCCCCAGAAGCCAAGCAGATGACGGCACCATGCTTCCTATGGTGCTGCATCCTTCCTAAAGGCTGCAGAACTGTAAGCCAATTAAACCTCTTATTTTTATAAATAGCCCAGTGTCAGGTATTTCTTTATACGAGTGCAAGAACTGACTAATACAGAAAACTTGTACAGAGGAATGGGGCATTGCTATAAAGATACCTGAAAATACAGAAGCAACTTTAGAACTGCACAATGAGCAAAGGTTGGAAGAAATTAGAGGACCCAGAAGAAGATAGTAAGATGAGGGAAAGTTTAAAATTTCTCAGAGACAGGATAAATGGCTCTGATCAAAATGCTGACAGTTATATGGACAATGAAGTCCAGGCTGAGGAGGACTCAGATGGAAAAGAGGAACTTATTGGGAACTGGAGCAAAGGCCACCCATGTTATGCCTAAGCAAAGACCTTGGCTGCGTTCTGTTCATGTCCGGGGGATCTGTGGAAGCTTGACTTGAGAGTGATGATTTAGGGTATCTGGTTAAAGAAATTTCTAAGCAGCAAAGCATTCCAGATGTGACCTGGCTGCTTCTAATAGCCTATGCTCAATGAGGGAGCAAATAAATGACTTAAGTTGGAACTTATATTTAATGGGAAAGCAGAGTGTAAAAGTTTAGAAAACTTGTAGCCTGGCCGTGTGGTAGAAAAGAAAAGCCCATTTTTAGGAGAAGAATCAAAGTGAGCTGCAAAGCAACCTCTTTCTAGAGAAATGTGCATAACTAAAAAGGAGCCAAGTACTAACAGCCAAGACAATGGGAAAAAGGCTTAGAAGGCATTTCAGAGAACTTCGAGGCAGCCCCTCCCATCACAGGTCCTGTGGGCTAGAAAGAAATGGTTTCGGGAGCCAGGCCCAGGGCCCTGCTTCCCTGCACAACATGCTCCCCATATCCAGGCCACTTCAGCTCCAGCCTCAGCTCAGATGACCTCAGGTTTGGCTCTGGTCGCTACTTCAGAGGGTGTAAGCCATAAGCCTTGGTGGCTTCCATATTGTGTTAAGACTCCAGGCACACAGAGTATAAGAGTGGAAGGGGCTTGGCAGCCTCCACCGGGATTTCAGAGAATATATGGGAAAGCTTGGGTGTCCAGGCAGAAACCCACTGCACAGATGGAACCACCACAGAGAACCTGTATTAGGACAGTACATAGGGAAAATGTGGGGTCGGAGGCCCCATGCAGAGTCCCTACTGAGGCACTGCATAATGGAGCTGTGGGAAGGGAGCCACAATACTCCAGGCCCCAGAATGGTAGAGGCACAGGCAGCTTGCACCCTGCACCTGAAAAAGCCACAGGCACTCAACAACCTGTGAGAGCAGCCACAGGGGCTGAACTCTACAAAGCCACAGGGGCAGAGCTGCCCAAGGCCTTGGGAGCCCACTCCTTACAGGACTTGAATGGGGCCTGTAGCCCCCCTTTTTTGGACAATCTCTCCCTTTTGGAATGGAAATGTTTACCCAATACTTAAACCCCCATTGTATCTTGGAAGTAAATAACTTGTTTTGATTTTATAGGCCCAGAGGTGGAAGGAACTCATTTCCAGAAAAGAATTTGAATTTGAGACTTGGGAATTTTGAGTTAATGCTGGAATGAGTTAAGATTTTGGTGGGGATTATTGAAAAGGGATGCTTGTATTTTGAAACGTGATAAGGAAATGAGATTTGGGAAGGGCCAGGGACAGAATAAGTTTGTACATTTGTCCCTACCCAAATATCATATTGAATTGTAGTTCCCAGTATTGGAGGTGTGAAGCCTATTTGGAGGTGACTGTATCATGGAGGTGAATTTCTCATGAATGGTTTAGCACCATCACCTTGGTGCTGCCCTCATGATAATGAGTGAGTTCTCATGAGTTCTGGCTGTTAAAAAGTGTGTGGCACCTCCCTCTATCTTGCTCCTGCTCTGGTCATGTGACATGTCTGCTGCCCTTTCGCCTTCCATCATGATTGTAAGCTTCTTGAGGCCTTCCCAGAAGTTGAGCAGATGCCAGTACCATGCTCCCTGTAAATCCTGCAGAACCATGAGCCAATTACGCCTCTTTTCATTATAAATTACCCAGTCTCAGGTATTTCTTTATAGAAATGCAAGAATGGCCTACTACACACAGCAATTTATCTATAGAACAAAGAGCCTGCACATCTACCCCTGAAACTAAAAGTTAAAAATAAATAAATAAATGAAAGCTATAAGCTAGAGATCAGCTTGTGTTACACAATTTCCTATAAATCTCACATCTTCAATTTTCCACATACAACAGTCAGGAAAATTTCATCTGAGGTTCAACAATTGGTAAAAACGTGTTTGGTGGTGATAATTTACATGATTTATTTACATACATAAATTTATACCACAAGCTACAAGTGAAACATATTCATCCTTCATCTTTTAGCAATTCTACCACATTAAAGGAAAAAATTAGATCAAATCTAGGCCACAGAATAATGAAAGGCTGAATTATCTAGAAGGTTGACAGTTAAATGCCCTCCTTTAACAAAATTAAGTAACAATCTCTGGGCAGTTCACATC
Source organism: Homo sapiens (assembly GCF_000001405.40). NCBI lineage: Eukaryota > Metazoa > Chordata > Mammalia > Primates > Hominidae > Homo > Homo sapiens. The sequence continues at coordinate 85,948,073 of NC_000023.11, forward strand.
TACACATAAAAAAAAAATGTGAAGTTTGTTCCCACTGATACTGCTCCAATTAACAGGTTATAAATACCTGACGTAGTATATAAAACTTATTCCAAACTAGAATGTAGTTATAAAGGCTACTATGTTACCAACCACACAAATAAACAAATAGGTCAGTTAAGGCTTAAAAAGGACTTCTGTTTGGAAAATATATTGTGAGCGTTTTAAAGTCTATAAACTGCATATATATCCTGTGCAATGTGCCAGAAAATGTATCAACCAATTAATTTACATTAGGGAAAACTGTAAAGCTTGCTAGACTAGAAAAATATATAGGTTTTAATGACTTTTCTTCCAATATGCTCCAATTATTGTATCTTGACATATTAATGGATACTAGGTAGCAACATAAATATGTTTCATTTTCTTTACCAAAAAAAAATCTACCTATTTAAATTGATAAAAGCCTCAAAGGACATTTATTCATGAAAGTTATCTCTAGTAGTTAAAATGTCACATGCAGAAATCATTTAGAATGCAAGGATATGACTTCCAAGTGTCTTTGAATCCTTCACATAAATATGCATGCATACCATTTATAATAGTAGCCTTGATGAGAACATGCTGTAACTGGCTGTGAGAAATGCTTAAGAGGCTTATATTAAAACAGAATATAGAATGGTGGTTAGAAATCACAGAACAGGTGATACCTTATTCTGATAACCTGGTGATAAAAAGTGTAGGCTATGATGTATAGATGGTAATAGTGTTACTACTTTAGGATAAAAATAAAACAATATTTATATGGAATTATAAAGCATTATGAAGAGAATCTAATATAAAACTAAAAGTTAATATCTGTAGGTCAAGGAAATGCATGTTTATTATAATTCACAGACAGACTCTTGTATATAAAATGTAAGAACTCAAGAGAATTACCCAGAAGTTTAATATATTTAACCCCAAAGTGCTGGGATTACAGGCATGAGCCACCGCACCCGGCAGGATGAGGTATAATTTTTATAAAAAACATTCAATCTGAGCCACATGTAGGCTCTGCAGATAATAAAAATATATGTAAGGCTGACAAATCTCAGCCTTAAGGTTACAACCATCTTTGGAGAAAAATGTTTTCTTTGTCTAAGATTCAATACATAAGATCACATTCTGAAATTTTATATCTGTACATGACAAACAAAACTTGTAAATGTCTTTTCCCTTCAAAAGAAATAAAAACAAAATGCATTTTTTAATGTATGAATTAGAAATAGAGGGATTTAGTGGAAAAAAGAGAAATAGGGCTAAACATTCCATTTTTGTAAAACACTAGTAAGGAGGCCAGTGAGCTTTAGATCACTTCCCAGTGATCTGTTCATTCTGTTTCTGTTCCTTACCCTAAGCTCCACAGGAGTGAGTAGCAAGTGGCAACATAAGAGGAAACATGGTGTGTCTCCTTTGAATCAGGCAATGACACAGGAAGAGGGAAAGAGTAACTAAGAAAACCATAGAACTCCCCCGCTTGTATTAAGTTGATAGAAGGACCTTTGGTTCCTGGGGGACATGGCACTCCCCATTTATTCCTACTTTGACAAGTAATCAGAAGAGGAAGAGCTTGTCTAGAAATACACAGATCCATCATATTCGGAAATAAGTGACTTCCAAATTTATAACGTTCCCACCTAAAGTCATAAAATCACATATTTAGGTAATGTAAATTTGAGAATACCTACTTCCAGTAGTAAACTGAACTAGATACTGTGAAGACACTTCCAGTTAATACCAAAACTAGGTCTTGGATGAAATAATTGTTATTGAACCAATGACACTGAAGGAAGGGGAATGTCCATGGGAAACACTGATCCCCATGTACATACAATACAAACCCTAACCTGAAATAAAAGCTTTGAGCAATAAACACTGAAATTAAATATATATATATATATATATATATATATATATCTTGTAATGGTATCACTATGTGGAGGTTGTATTGCATTATTAAGTGACGACCCCCAAAGGGAACTAAAATGATCCTAATTCTGTAGTGCCGTGAGGATGAAGCAAACACAAATAATCCCTGAAGAAAGGCACTCCCAATTTGGGTCCCCAGATTAAAATCAATCAAATATAAACTCTCAGCTAAGGAAAAGCATTGCACACACACACACACACACACAAATCACTGAGATGAATCAGTAGAAACAATACACGGCAATATTATATCGTTATGAAGTTTAAATATTAGAGTTATCAGAAAGAGAATGTAAAATATCTATATATGAAATGAATAAATAATTTCAAAAATGAACAAGTAAAAAAAATCAAGAATGACAGAGAAGATGGTGAGTAGAATTTCTAAAAATGAAAGATAATATTGAAGAAAGAAAATGAATGGGTTACAGGTGAAGAGAATCAATATGCTGGAATACAGATCTTAATTAGGTACCCAGAATGCAGCCAGAAAGACAAGAAGATAGCAAATATGAAAAAGATATTGAGAGATACAGAAGAGAGAATGCTAAGTTCTAAAACTTACCTACTTAGGGTTCCAAAAAGGCGAGAAGAGAAAAGGAAGAAAAAACAATACTTATAAAGATATTGGCTGATAAATTTCCAAAACAATAAACATAAATTTACAGACAGAAAAAGCACAATGTATTTAGTTGAACCATAGGATAATGTAGGTCTAAAATGGTTGAATAATGTTAATTTCATATGGTTCAACCTATACTAAGCAAGATAAAGACAAAGAAATTAACACCTAAGATTCACTGTAGTAAAAATATAGAATACAAAAGACAAACTATATTAAAAACAATGTGAGAGAAAAAAAGATATCTTTGTAACTTGTCATAATAAAAAATGACAAAGTAGGCTGACACTGAACTTTTCAGTGGCAAAAATGGAACACAAATGACAATGGAATAAAATTTTAAAGTATTAACAAAAATTGTCAGCCTAGCATTGTTTACTCAGTAAACTTCCACTCAAGAGAAAAAAGAAGAAAAAGTTATTTTCAGATACACACAACTAGAAAGCATTTGCCACCAGTAGATGTAAACTAGAGGAACTATTCTTAAATGCTTATATTAAAAAATATTTAAAAGATGAATACTTAATTCACGGAACTTCAGCCTAATAATTGCCAAGGGCAGGGGAGGGGAGAGATGATCTAAATATAATCCAGAGAAAGCAAAACAAAGGAGATAATAAAGAGCAGAAAATAATGAATTAGGACACAAAGCTACAACTGAATAAAAAAATCCCAAATTTGATTCCTGAAAAACAGAGAGAGGTCGTAAAACTTGCCCAAAGTTACATGGATAATAAACAGAAAAGTCAGGACTTAAATCTAAGCAGTCTTGTCTCTATACTTCAGGTATACTAAATGACCTCCCAAAAAAAGCTAAGCATAAAAAAAAAAGATTGCTCTATTTGACTATATTAATCTTCATGACCTTTATGTATCATAAAAACCATAAGACAAAATACATCCAACACATATAACTGAAAAAAGATCACTAATCAGAATATATTTTAAAACTCCTACAAATCAATAAGACAACAACCCAATAGACAAATGGGCAAAAGTCAACAATGAGAGGGTGGAGCAAGATGGTCAAATAGATGCCTCTAGTGATCATCCCTCCCACAGGAATGCGGAATTTTAACAACTAACTACACACAAAAAAAGAACCATCATAAGAAGCAAAAATCAGGTAAGCAATCACAGTACCAGGCTGCAACTTCCTATCACTGAAGGAGGCACTGAAGACAGTCTTGAATGGTCAATGCCAACCCTCCCCAATTCCACGGCAGTGGCCACATGGTGTGGAAAGAGAAATCTATGCATTTGAGGGAGTGAGAGCATAGCAACTGGGGGATGTAGCATTGAACTTGGTGCTGCCCTGTCAGTGGAGAGCAAAGCTATGCTAGGCTCAGGTGGCACTGAGAGAACATTTGGACCAGCCCTAGCAAGAAAGGAATGGCCCATCCCAGCAGCTGGAACTCGAGTGTCTCAGCAAGCCTTGTCACAATGGGCTAAAGTGCTCTGGAGTTCTAGGTAAACTTGAAAGGCAATCTAGGACACAAGGACTGTAATTCCCAGGCAAGTGCTAATGCTAGGCTGGGCTTAGAGCCCATGGACTAGGGCAGCACATGACCTAGGGAGAAACAGCCTGGGCAGCTAAGGGAGTGCTTGTGCCACCCCTCCCCAAACCCTAGGCCATGCAGCTCACAGCAACGAAGGTGTCTAATTCCTTCTGCTTGAGAAGAGGAGAGCAAAGAGTAAAAGGACTTTGTCTTTCATCTTGGATAGCAGCTCAGCCACAATAAGATAGGACACCAGGCAGAGTCATGAGGCCACCATTCTAGACCCTAACTCCCAGAAAACATTTCTAGACATACCATGGACGATAAGGGAACCCATTGCCTTCAAAGGAAGGACCCAATCCTGGCAGGGCTCATCACTTGCTAGTTAAAAGCCCTTGGCTACAAAATAATCAACAGTAATACCCAGGTAGTATGCCGTGAGCCTTGGGTGAGATTCTGAGACATGCTGGCTTCAGGTGAGACCCAGTACATTCCCAGCTGTGGTATCTATGGCAAAAGACTTCTGTTTGAGAAAAGCAGAGAGAAAAGTAAAGGGGACTTTGTGTTGTGTGTTAAACACCAACTCAGACACAGGGGTGCAGAGCACCAAGCAGGCTCTTGGGAACTCAAGTCGAGGCCTAGGCTCTTAGAAAGCCTTTCTGGACCTACCCTCGGCCAGAGGGGAGCCCACTGCCATGAAGGGTAAGGCCCAGGCCTGGAAGCATTCAACACAAGCTTACTGAAGGGTACTTGGGGTTTAAGTGAACATCAGGGGTGGCCTGGCAGAACTCCCAGTTGACCAGTGGCTGTGGTGGCCACTGGGAGAGGCTGAGAGAAGTCAAATTATCCTTGTTTGCAGATGATATAATTTTATATTTGGAGAATCCTAAAGACCCCATCAAAAACCTATTAGACTGACAAATTTAGTAAAGTTGCAGGGTATAAAATCAACATACAAAATTAATAGCATTTCTATATGTCAACACTGAAGAATCCAAAAGAGAAATTTTAAAAAGTAATCTCAATTAGAATACCCACAAATGCAATTAAATACCTAGGAATTAGCTTAATCAAAGAAGTGTACGATTCCTACAATGAAATCTATAAAACACTGATGAAAGATATTGAAGAGGACACAAAGAAATGGAAAACTATTCCATGTTCATGAACTGGAAGAATCAATATTGTTAAAATGTCCATACTATGCTAAGCAATCTACAGATTTAATGCAATCTATATCAAAATATCTATGGCATTCTTCAGAGAAATAAAAAAAATCCTAAAATGTATATAGAGACACAAAAGACCCAGAATAGCCAAAGCTATCCTGAGCAAAAATAATAAAACTGGAGGAATCACATTACCTTATTTCAAATTATACTACAGAACTATAGTCACCAAAACAGCATGGTACTGGCATAAAAACAGACACATAAACCAAAAAAACAGAATAGAGAACCCAGAAACAAATCCACACACCTACAGTGAACTCATTTTTGACAAAGGTGCCAAGAATATACACTGGGTAAAAGACAGTCTTTTCCATAAAGGGTGTTGGGGTAACTGGATATCTGTATGCAGAAAAATGAAACTAGACCCCTATCTTTTGCAGTATATAAAAAGCAAATCAAAATGGATTAAAGAATTAAATCTAATGCCTCAAACTTTGAAACTACTACAAGAAAACATCGGAGAAAACCTCCAAGACACTGGTCTGGGCAAAGATTTCTTAAGCAATGCCCCACAAGCACAGGCGACTAAAGCAAAAATGGACAAACGGGAACACATGAAGTTAAAAAGTTTCTGCACAGCAAAAGAAACCATAAACAAAGTGAAAAGACAACCCACAGAATGAAAGAGAATATCTGCAAACTACCCGTCTAACAAGGAATTAATGACCAGAATATATAAGTAGCTCAAACAACTCTACAGGAAAAAAATCTAATGATATGACTAAAAATTGGGCAAAAGATCTGAATAGACATTTTTCAAAAGAAGACATACAAATGACAAGGAGACATATAAAAAGGTGTTCAACATCACTGATCATCAGAGAAATGCACATCAAAATTACAATGAGATATTTTATTACCCCAGTTAAAATAACTTTTATTCAAAAGAAAGACACTAGCAAATGCTGGCAAAGATACGGAGAAAAGGGAACCCTTGAACACTGTGGGTGGGAGTGTTAATTAGTACAACCACTGTGGAGAACAGTTTGGAAGTTCCTCAGAAAAGTAAAAATAGAGCTACCATACGATCTAGCAATCCCACTGCTAGGTATATACCCAAAAGAAAGGAAATCAGTGTATCAAAGGGATATCTACATACCACATTTGTCGCAGCACTGTTCACAATAACCAAGATTTGGAAGCAACCTAAGTGCCCAGCAACAGATAAATGGATAAAGAAAATGTAGTACAGTTACACCTTGGAGTAATACTCAGCCATAAAAAGAACGAGATCCTGGCTGGGCATGGTGGCTCACGCCTGTAATACCAGCACTTTGGGAGGCTGAGATGGGTGGATCACAAAGTCGGGAGTTCAAGACTAGCCTGGCCAAGATGCTGAAACTCCATCACTACTAAAAATACAAAAATTAGCCAGGTGTGGTGGCACGTGCCTGTAATCCCAGCTACTCAGGAGACTGAGGCAGGAGAATCACTTGAACCTGGGTGGCAGAGGTTGCAGTGAGCCGAGATCACACCACTGCACTCCACCCTGGGTGACAGAGCAAGACTCCATCTCCCAAAAAAAAAAAAACAAAAGAATGAGACCCTGACATTTGCAACAACATGACAACATGGATGAAACTGGAGGTCATTATATTAAGTGAAATAAGCCAGCCACAGAAAGACAAACAATGCATATCCTCACTTACTTGCGGGAGCTAAAAATTAAAACAATTAAACATATGGAGACAGAGAGTAAAAGGATGGTTATCAGAGCCTGGGGCGGGTTTTGAGGGGGCAGCGGATAAGTAGGAATGGTTAATAGGTACAAAACGTAGTTAGAAAGAATGAATAAAATCTAGTGTTTGATATTACAACAGAGTGACTACAGTCAATAATGATTTAATTGTACATGTTAAAATGAAGAGTATAATTGGATTGTTTTCAACACAAAGGATAAATGTGTGAAGGGATGGATACTCCATTTACCATGATGGATTACACTTTGCATGCCTGTATTAAACTATCTCATGTACCCCACAAACACATATGCCTCCTATGTACCCACAAAAAATAAAAATTTTTAAAAATGTGTAAAACAAACAAAAAAAGACACAAACAAGTATTCCCTGAAGATAAAACATGAATGGCCAGTAAACATATGAGAAAAGGTTCAACTTCATAGGTAATTAGGGAAATGAAAAATAAAAATCCAATGCAATGATAATTTATGTGAGTTAGGTTGACAAAAAAATTTTAAATGTTGGCAAACATGTAAAGCTTTGGGTATTCTTATGTACGGCTAAAAGGTTATAATTGGTACAGCCCTCTAGAGAAATAACTGAACACGATGTTGTAAAGTGTTAACATTCATGTATCTCAGGACTGGGGAATTCCACCCCTAGATATGTTTCCGAGAGAAATTCTTGAACATACACAACTTGAAACATACACAAGGGTGTTAACCTCAAAAAACTGGAAACATCCTGTGTTCATCAACAGAAAAATGAAAAAATAGATTGTGGTGTATTCACAATAACATACTATATAGTAATAAAAAATTAACTAAAATTATATGCAATGACAATACTTTCCATCATGCTATTGAGTGGAAAAAGGAATTTATAGTATTTTTATCAAGCTCAAAAAGAGGCCACACTGAATATATCACTTAGGTGGGTAGATAGGTAGGTAAATAGATTATAAAAAATAAATAGAATAAAGTATATATTTGCATATACTAAATCTTGAATAAATCTCATTTTTGCCTGCCTAATTTTCATCTGTTATTCAAGTATCACTTTTAGAAGGGACAAGAAAATCAATGGCAAACTTACCTGCAGAAACACTGGGGGAGTTCTCCTTGGCCATATAAAGGAAACAAAAATGGAGTGTTGCCATACCGCCCAAGACAGTGAAGAAAGTTTTTGGTAGCTTTGAGACCATCTATGGTGCTGCTGGCTGTCTCTGATGTCATTGCAATTGAATGCATGACAATATATTGGAGGTTGGGGGTTAATTTTTGAGTCTTTAAATATTCATAAAATGTGATCTCTTCATATCCTATGAAAAGATGAAATTTTATCACTTAAAATCAGAACTAAACTTCTATTTAAAACCACCCCACAAAAAGGAGATGAAGTGTGTTTCACAGACCTCACAAAGGACATAGGTGGTATTACATTTTGGACACTGATGGTTGATCTTAGGAAAAAATGGAAACAATCTCTCTCTCTTATTTGGAGTAATGGCACAATTTTTAGCTTTAAATGATGAATTATGATTGAGCATTTCATGGATTTAAAAAAAACTAGAAAATATTAAATAACTCAATGGGTTGTCATAGTTGGCAATAATCTCACTTTATTATCATGAAACCTGCAGGATAATGCCAATAATGGTACTGAAAATATTAAACAACTATGACAACATGGGAATGTATTGATTTAAAATGATAAATATGTGAGTTTTGTAAAACGTATACTTCTCACTGATACTCAGAAAATAAACTAAAAAATAATGAAATGAATTTCCATGTGGCTACTGGAATCAGTCTTATGGCCACATAATCACATCAAAACATACGGGACCCCCAGAAGTTACTCCTTTAAACCAAGAACAGAATATAATGTAATTGGACTGTTAGTGGTGGGAAATAAATCCCATGATAAAAGACAAAAACTTTACAGAAATAATTTACATAAATAAAAATTATGAAAATTTACTGAGAGAATTGAATTTTACACAGCCACTGTGGATAACAACATGACAGTACCTAGTAGACTTGAAGCTTTAAGAGCAAGGATTAGACTTTCATTATTTCACAGAGGAAAAAAAATATCGCTGCACTTCTCATTGTAACTTTATAAATAAATTATCAATAGTATATTCCAATTTTGGATAACATTTTCAGACCAATGGACTTAAAGTATATAGCTCTGACACTAAAATGGCATATTCAATTTTTAACAGACAATGAAGTAACTGGCCCCAGATCACATAATGAAATAGGTCAAAGCCAAGAATAGAAACCATGCCTTTTCTGAATCCAGTATTTTTCCCCATATACCATCTAGCCTTTTTTTTTCAAACGAAATAGTTCAAGATTCTATGCAAAAGCAATCCTGGAAAATGATAAAATATATAGTATTTTTACTTATGAGAAAAAATAATGGAATCATGAAAACAGATTATCATCTATGAAGAGCCAGTTGACAGTAGTATTTAAATAATAAGAATAAAAATTAAAATCTAGCATGCCACTTCAGCAATGAAAATATCTGCACTGTAGCCACATGGGGCTATGGGAGCCCTTGAAATACAGCTAATAAGACTGAGAAACTGAATTTATTTTATTTTATTTCACTTTAATTAATTTAAATTTAAATAGCTAAATGTTACTAATGGCTAACCTATTGATAGTGCAGAGTTAGAATGCATTTTAAAACAGTAATAAGTGGCTCACTAAATCAGAGCAAGCATATTAAAATAGTAAGAAATGTCAAATAATTGGAGAGCACTACTTAATGAAAAAAATACCTTTATATTCATCAGGATATTTCTCATATTCCATACAAAATGTAAGAAATTTCATTAGCATTCGCTTTTCTACCATAGTAAGTTGTTTGCTATTAAAGACATCTGCTCTGGAACACGGAACCTGAAAAATATTATGATTTTAAGTTAAGAAACTGCTTCCTAATGATATAACTATTCCAAATTACACTTTTTTCCCCTTTACATATAACAGGATTATCGTTTCCACTCTAGCCAGGCTTTTTCACATCACCGTCCATCAGTACTAATGGCATCTCTGCTAACTTCAGAGCTAATTGTGAGCTTTCTTACTTAATTCTGCCAAGTTACTCCCCATGCCATTAAAAGGCCAACGGCATGTCATCCTAACAGAGAAAAATTTAGCAGTGCTATCTAAAACAAACACTGTGGTTCTCCCTATGTACATGTTAGTACATTTTTATGCCTTTTCTCCAATTAATCTGCCTTTGTGAGTTGATTTTTCAGTGAAACTTCAGAGGCTTAAGAGGGAGTGTTTCCCTTGGCCCCTACAGTTTTGGTGCTGTGAGCAGGATAGCAAAGCTCTGCTCTTCTGGAAGCTGCAGTGAAGAACCCAGGATCTGATCAGCTGTCATAAGGGTAAGAATTTTTTCCCAACCAGGCTCCGGGCCTCCTCCTCTGTGTGGAATCTGATCAAGTGGACAGCAAAAATCACCGTTTCTTTCTTTTCCCTCTCCAAAATCTTGATTAATGGGAGAAAAGGATTTGTGTGACTAGTCTTGGGTATAGTAACTCTGGTGTGCTTTTTGGTTTTTTGTGTGCTGCTTGGTACCAACACCAAGCTGCAGAGTAAGCCATGAGAAAATTAGCACTAGAAATTTTAATTAAGCATTTACATTTGTAAATCACCACGGAGGACTGGAATTTACTGCTTTATGAGGAAAATAACAATCTTATTTGCTTATCTTTCCAAAACAAACCATAATAACTTAAGCTGATGCCCAGTTACAATTCTTGATCAGCACAGTACCTGTTCCACTCGTCCTTCTCGAAATGCAAGAATCCTGGTAATATTTTTAAACTCTGCATATCGACTAACATTAGATTTGATTAGAAGATCAATTAGTAATCCTCGAGAATACAGCAGCTGTACAAAGAAAATATTTTACAAGATAAAAGTTGAAATAGTAGAAAAATTGGAAAACAATAAAGATACATAATTTTGCTATATTTTTTATTATTTGTAGAAACAATCATACCTATAAATATTATAATACATAACACAATCTATTACAGGCTCAGAATTGATTAGCTGAAATTCAAAATTCAAAAAACTTTGCAATCCATAAGTTTTTACAAAACATGTTTAGCAGCAAAACCTGATCCATACTGATAAGGCACTCTGGCTTTGTTTGTCCAAATTAACATAAATATTCATATATTTCACTGCAGAAATAATGTGTTTAGTTAGAGTTCCTCCTCAGACCCTGCTAATAATTTAACCTAACATATAACATATCAGTATATGTACTTCATTACTTTCTAAAATATATTTTTTTAATCTTAATGATAGAATACACCAGGCCCTGAGGGTTTTGGATAAGAATCTATAGTCTTACACAAAGCCAGGTAGTTATAAGAAGAAATCAGTCCAGTGAACCTCCCTACCCCATCAAAAAAAGAAAAAAATATTTGTGATGCATTTACACTGAAAAAGTCAAATTATAAGGTACTTCTGTAATTCTAGAAGTCTGGGTTTATATGAGATATGTCTTTCTCAAAAAGTGAAGATGATGATTATTGCTGGCATGTATGGGAGAAATTGATTTAATCTTTCAACATCTCATAAGTAATATCAGAGAGATAAAATCAATAATGTAAACAGTATTATCTAGCATGTTAACCGTATGGTTAAATGCAACAGATTTGACTATTTCCTATATTAAGATACTCTTAATGCCTATAACTCAATAAATATTAAAAATGAATGTTACATCTATAATAAATAAATGGGAAAATTAGCTTTACTATACAAAGAAAAAGGAATCTCAAAAATCAATCTAAACCATTAGTCTGAGCAACTAATAAGTCAGTAAAGACTATCAGTAAATCAATACCATTCAAGTAAAATTTTATAAACTAATAGTTCAGCATTCTGCAAAACAAAATTGACATCACTTTTTTGAAGCTAATCTGATCATCCTGATTAAATATGGCACGTTACTTCATTACCCTCTTCCTAACACACTACATTACTGAAAGAGACCATGTTTTAAAGAATATATTGCCAATTCTTAACTCTATAATAATGATAAAAAATAGTTACTTCAAAAATCACTTGTTTAAAAAGATACACATTTGAGACTCAAGGATCCCTGCATAGCCATAATAATGTCACAAACATTAAGATATAAAATATGAAACTGCATTTTTATTTAATAAGATCCAATAAACCTTAAGGTTTAATGCCAGCTTGAAAAATAATGCATTTAAGATATCACAAGAACAAAAACAAATTTCAATTAAAATTATACTAGATTTTTGTTTCTGAAGCTCACAAATAATAAATGTGTACATATCAGAATCTAAGCCTCTTTTTCTTTTTTTTTTATTGAGACAGAGTCTCTCTGCTGCTCAGGCTGGAGTGCAGTGGCTCAATCTCAGCTCACTGCAACCTCTGTCTCCTAGGTTCAAGCGATTCTCCTGCCTCAGCCTCCCGAGTAGCTGGCATTACAGGAATGCAATGCCACGCCCAGCTAATTTTTTGTATTTTTAGTAGCACACAGGGTTTCACCATGTTGGTCAGGCTGGTCTCGAACTCCTGACCTTAGGTGATCCGCCCGCTTCAGCCTCCCAAAGTGCTGGGATTACAGGACTGAGCCACCACGCTCAGCCTAAGCCTCTTTTTCACTACCCTCTAAGCGATCTACCACAGTGATGAGGGGCTAAAGAGCAGTGCAATTTGATTACAATAATGGAAATTAGATTTATTAATTAACAATTTTTCCTTAGCATGTTGGTTCCATAATTATTAAGAGTATGGACTTACTTAGAAATGAGCTTTCATTTTAAGAATTTCATCTTTGACCTTCTCTATTAGTCTGAGCAGTATGACACTATACGTATTTTATTTAACTAACCTACCTTGAGCTATTACTTTTTAAAAGGCTATATACATGAATGTGTATTGTCAACTGTAAAGCCCCACAGTATTTAATTATATCATGATGTCTTTGAGGTTGAACGCATATAGAAATGTCAACTAGTTTGGAGATACTGAGTTGGACTTTAGAAAAGAGGTAGGTCTTTGGACGAGCACGGTGGCTCACGCCTGTAATCCCAGTACTTTGGAGGGCCAAGGCAGGCAGGTCACGGGGTCAAGAGATCGAGACCATCCTGGCCAACATGGTGAAACCCCATCTCTACTAAAAATACAAAAATTAGCCAGGCATAGTGGCACGCGCCTGTAGTCCTAGCTACTCAGGGGGCTGAGGCAGGAGAATCACTTGAACCCAGGAGACGGAGGTTGCAGTGAGCAGAGATGGCGCCACTGCACTCCAGCCTGGCAACAGAGCAAGACTCTGTCTCAAAAAAAAAAAAAAAAAAAAAAAAGGAGGTAGGGCTTTAGGGCTTTAAGATAGATATTTGGCAATCATCCTAAACTTAGACGTTTATTAACTGCAATTATTAGAACAGATAAAATTTCTAAGGAGTGACCAATTGCCCCAATAACATGGAATACATTGCTTTCCATCTAGCATGCACTGAATATGTATTAAATGACTTAACATTTTAAAAACGGAAAATTAATCTCCTGTATTACTATGGTTATATGTGATTAAGATACTTCTGGTTTTGAAAATGAGTACATTAAATGTTTATTAGTTATTTTGTAGAACGTATGAACCCATGAAACTCTGCAGGACGCAGTCCCAACTGCCTAGTCCACTGCCTCTAGACATGTTTGGTTTTTACTTACCATAAGAGAACTGGTTATTACTAACCATTCAAACCGATGAAAATACCCAGAAGTCTCCTTCAGGGTATCTTCAAATGTGTCAACTTCTAATTCAATTGTCTTTTTCCTCCCACAACCAGCATTCATTTTCTTATACAACTGAATAATTTTCTACACCAATTCCTACAATTGAAACAGCACCGTCTTCTACCATTTCCCTTTGCAAGATATATACTAAATTTCAGCTAACATAAAAGTTACAGACTTTTATGAAATAGCCTTGATTCTTAACCACATTTATATCATCATTTATTTAGGTAAAACATTCCAAATTCCAAGTAATTACTTCAAAATGGAATTGTCACACAAAGCCCATTTGTTATTTGACTTGTTCAGTTTTTATGTTTTGTTTAACCTATTTCATAGAGTACTGCTCATGGGACCAGGAAGGTTATTAGTGAGCTAGGATTAAACTTCCATCCACAGATGAACAGCCAAGGTAATGTGGAAAAAATGCTAGATTTCAAATCATGACAGGGTCAAAGTAGATGGAGGTGGGAGAGATAGTACGGAAGTATGAAGTAGAACCAATGCAATAGCCAACTATGCAAAATCAGACACAGAGTGCTACATGACAGACAGAAAGAAAAATGGGTAGTAAAAAGATATTTATATTTTCAGGCATCAAGTTCAAAGGGAGCAAGAGTATGAGGATATGGGATTTGCAGAAACAACTTGTCAAGGGAAATGTTTTGGTCCCTCTCTGTCCCCTATCACTTGGAACTTGAAGAAAGTACATTAAATTGAAAAGCCTAGTTCTGTGCTAGTTCTGTGGCAAGTCTTGTGCTATTCACTATCCTCTCCTACTTCTTTTCAATTACTTATTGTTAGCTCTCAACTTATAGGATTTAGTCTGTTTTTCTCTACTTTTACCCTGTCCTGTATCATGACCCTTTAAGGCCATAATCCTTTATCTTACTGATTTTCTATTCTTTTGCACTAAAAATAGTCTTGCTTCCTATAAACCAAATGCAATATTGTACGCTTCTAAGATGGAGGGACCTCCTGTGAAGTTACAGTGAACTAACATTCAAGTTAGTTATGTTCAGGAACATAACCGAAGACAATAGCTTTCTTCCCAGCCTTCCTGCCTCCATCACTATTAAATTTTCCTCTGAAGCTTTCAAACCTGAACACATGATTTTTTTGAGACTTTTTTCTTAAATTATACTTTAAGTTCTGGGATACATGTGCAGAAAGTGCAGATTTGTTACATAGGTATACACACGCCATGGTGTTTTGCTGCACCCATCAACCCGTCATCTACATACCCGTCATCTACATACCCATCATCTACATAAGTATTTCTCCTAATGCTATCCCTTCCCTAACCCCCAACCCCGACAGGCCCTGGTGTGTGATGTTCCCCTCGCTGTGTCCATGTGAACACGATTTTTAAAAATTCATTGGTTTATTCTGAGTATTCATCATCATACAGTTGTGAAAATAGTTACTATACATAAAGGCTAAAAGAATCGATGGAAATTGACTGTAAATAACATGGATTTCTAAACAGGTTCATTAGAATTTTTCTTTTGATAGAATTCATAGTGTCCAGAGAATATTAGGTTGTAGTATGTGCTCAAGCACAAAAGTATTCTTCAGGTATAGATTAAAAACATAATTAAAGCATTTTCATGTGAGCACTTTAAATATGTTTTTAATTTGTACTTAAGGAATATTTTAAATGAATTACAAACATCTGGCTACTATCTCTTTACAAAACAAATGTTCTGCATCTCAGAGAATTACAAAAACTGGGTTTATGGGCCCAGATACTGTTTTCAATGCAAAGATGGGTAAAATTAGTACTTACCTTTGATACTAAATCAATATTAAATCTCCTGCCTTCTTTAATAATTTGTGAGTAAGTAATTCTGTTTTTCTTTGGTTGCTCTGTGGTATCTTCTGCTATAGGCACATTTTCACTCATGTCTTCTGCTGAAGTTGATGGCACACAAGTTTTATCATCACAATGGTTTTCTTTTTCCCCTGTCACTTCAGCACCATTTACTTCTAGCGCATTCTCTGGATCGCTGCTTGGAGTTTGTTCTGTGAGCATTTCACAGCTCATAGTGCTTAATGACTCATCCTCCGTAGGCAGGAAGGCAGAATCTGCAGCTTCTGTGGAGTTTGCAGATGTCACAAGAGCATGATTTTTCTGCAGTGCACCAGCTTCTTCGACATCTTCATGCAAATCCTGACTAATAAGAAATATAATAATAAACACCAGGCTTTATATATATATTCCCTTACCCCTTTTATCAAGTTCAGTGTACGTTTTGCTTATGTGACTCAGACATTAAACATTCATCTGTTAATGTTTCAGTAAAATATGAAACAAAATTAAGATTTGAAAGATATAAAGATTTCATGTCACATGCACATTTTTGAGAATTTAAGACAGACAGGGGAACTGTATTGGAAGCAAATTACCACAGTGATGAAGAACACAGTCTTCAGAATAACAGATCTTGGTTCAAACCCTGACCATATGACTAGTAAGCTCTGCGAACTTAGATACTTATGTATCCTCTCTGAGACCACCTAAATTACCCTCAATTTAGGTAATTACCTAAATTACCCTCTCTGAGACCACCTAAATTACCCATCTATGACACAGAGATAATACCACCTACCACAAGGTTGTTTTGAAGATTAAATTAAGTACTGCATGCAAAGAGCCTGACACAGTGCCTGGGACATAGTAAATACTCAACAGTGGTAGTTATCAAAGATGATTATTACTGAGGAATTCCTGACTTGGTGATACGACAGAAGACCTTCAATAAAGGGAAAAATATCTGCCTTGAAAAGATTAAGTTGGCCTATCACAATGTGGTATCTAATAGGACCTTTCTGTATAATTTCCTGCCTATTTTAGTACTGATGTCTATTACTCTAGTCGAAGCCCCATTTCCAAATTTATTATTGGAGCTAACATTCTCAGTCCACCATTGTCTTGATTTATAGAACAGGCTCCCATTCAGTCTGCCTGCTTTATGAATTTCTGTGATATTTTATCCTCCACAGAACCCACTATTTTCACTGAGTTGCCACACTGCTCAATACCTGGCAGAATGCCTTGTATGTGATTGGTCTTGGCAAGTAAAAATCTGCTAGTTGACTAACAGTAGCCCTAACAGTAGCCCTTCCTTATATCAAATACCCCACAAAAAAATCTTCCTTTTCCTGTCTCTAAACCAAACCACCTTCCTTATTTACTAATCTTCTGGTTTCATCTCCACCTACTTTCCAACATGGCATCTCTAACTCCGAATTTATCAATTCTAATTGTCAAATCATGACAGTTTGGTTCATATCATTTGTTTCTTCTGTCCTTTTCTTCCCACTCTGCATAATATCACAATTCTTCCATTCTCAAACATAATCACATACTTTAGCAAACTACTTTAAGAAAAAGTTTAAATTTAACTTCCAATTAGTCTTCCTTACTCCAATTACACTCATCACTCTATTATACCATGCTCCCATAATACACATATGCAGTTTACCTTGCATGTATTTATCCATTCCTTTTTAATAGTCCTTTAGTTTTCCAGTATATCCTTTATCTTCCAAATCAGACTGTAATTCCTTGAGGGAATACCTTAGCACCGCTCCTTCTGTGCCCCTCACGACACCTACCACACTGCTCCATAGATGTGGTATCCAATAAATGCTTAATTAATAATGGTTTATACGTGCAGACTATTTTTGTTTCAAATGCGAAACAAACTTGTTGCAAAAAACACAAAAAATAAGGCCAAGAAAAAAACACGGTATTGTAAATTAGAAAGTCCGAGTTAAGTGAAAAAAAGAAGTGCCTTATTAAAAATAACACAATGAACACTACAAAAAAAAATGAGGGACAATGATAGAATAACACTCAAATGTCAAGAAATAAAATGCCATATTTACTGTTATAGTAATTCTAATAAAATCTAGTGAAGAAACAAATTGATATCATTAATGTTACATGAATATTTTTGAGATCTAGGAAACCAAAGTGAGGAAAACACCCACTTTGTTCTATCCTAGATTTATCACTTAGGAAACACTTGGCAAGTCATTTAATCTCTCTGATTCACCACATATAAAATGGGGATCAGTCCATTTGCCTTACCTTTTATGAAACTGTTGTGAGATAAGGAAGCTAACATATATGAAAAGTAGTTTATAAACTCTAAAAGGTTAATCAAAGATAAGATACTAATCAGGCCGGGCACGGTGGCTTACACCTGTAATCCCAGCACTGTGGTAGGCCGAGGTGGGTGGATCACTTGAGGTCAAGAGTTCAAGACCAGCCTGACCAACATGGTGAAACCTAGTCTCTACTAAAATGCAAAAATTAGCTGGGCGTGGTGATGGGCACCTGTAATCTCAGCTACTTGGGAGGCTGAGGCCAGAGAATCACTTGAACCCAGGAGGCGGAGGTAGCAGTGAGCCAAGATCGTCCCATTGCACTCCAGCCTGGGCAACAAGAGCAAAACTCCGTCTAAAAAAAAAAAAAAAAAACTACTCAAAAATAAGATATTGTTAAACTGCCCACAGCTCAACAGTCAACTCAAAACCTGTATACCTAGGTTTTCTGCATTCACATGACAAAAGCCCATTGGCCATATAAGCACATAATAGCATCGCTATTAACAGCATTAAGAATGAAGAGTCATAATATGAAAGGTGATTTATATATTTTCTACAGAATTGTTCACACTCTTATTCACTTTTATTATCTTGAAAACCAACAAAACTAAAGTGTGTTACATGAGGGATCTAAGGGGACAATTTTCAGCAAAAGTTCCACACCTAATTTTTTGTTTTTCAGTAAAAGTTCCATGCCTAACTCTTAAAGCAAAAGTTCCATGCCTTTAATTTTAAGAAAGGATAATTAATTACACTTTACAGATAAGACAAAATATGGCAACTTCTCTTATTACAGACTATGATGATGACACTGTGAAAACTGAGCATAGCAAATGATCTAGTCAGTGGTTCTCTATTACATTCTGTGATGGGGGCCCTATAGAGTGAATGAAATACATTAACCAGTACTGGACAACCTGGAAGATATAAGTCAAAATACTTAATTAAAGGTATAAGCGAAGAGAAGAAATTATTCTTCGGAAATTTTTTCTACATCAATAAACTATCGTTTTACTGTTCTCAACATTATAATTTGGTGAGATTCCTAGCACTACGGAAAACACAAGCAATAAAAACACAACACTGTCCTCACTTTCCATTAAAAACAACCACAGTATTTTTGGAGTTCTGCCAAGGTTGAAGTTAATACCTAATGAGAAAATATAAAGACACCCAAAAGCTCCTAAAACTCCACTGACATCCTCAGAAAGCAAAATTCTGTTCATCTAAAAGGGTTATCTTTCCCCAAATTTAAAACTTTATACTGTGGTAAAAGACATTTTCTTAAAAAGATATTCAACCTTTCAGAGAAAACCTCAGAATCCAGTAATAGTTCAATTCTACTAATTTAAAAGTGTTTGAAAACTATAAAAACACATTTACCAATTACAAAACAATGTAGCTGCATTATAAGCCTTCAAATGAACCTTGGAGTTCTAAGATATTACAATGATTTTAACATACACAGGTGCTCCTCGACTTATGATGGGGTTACGTCCTGATAAACCCAATATAGTAAGACAAAGTGCATTTAATACCCCAATAAAACCATTACAAAGTTGAAAAATCATTAAGTCGAACCATCTTAAGCTGCAGACTGTTTATCTAAAGGAAAACAATCTGCATCATTAGTTCTTATAAAAATGTTCACTATCAAAATTGATTTCACAAATTAAATTTAGTGTCATTTACATTGCTAGCTTTAATTCCAAAGGTCATTTATAATGTAACAATATTTTTTAGATAATTTTTCTTAATAAAAACTGCTTAACACTGCTTTTTGTAAATGCATTTTTCACTAATTGCCAAAATTCATATACTACTCTGAGAGTTTGGAGGTATATATTCTGATATCATCTAGTACTGCTTCCCAATTAATAGTAATAACAAAGAAACACCTCAAAGTAAATGTGTCTTATGAATACCTTGTAACAGCCTTTTAGAGGAATCAAATGAAAAACTGAGGAACAGGTGTTTAATTTATTCAGCACAGGTGTTCACCATTTATTTTTCAGCCATTTGCACCTTCTCTTACCCAATACGACTTGCTGCAGACATTGTATTCTTTTACTTTGATGTTTATACTTTGTTCTAAGGCCATTTATTTCTGATTTTCACAGTATATATTATACTGCTACCCAGCTGTTTATTCCTAAAATAAATGTTTAATGGCTATTCATAAGAATTACAAAAATCAGACTATTCAGAAATTGTTGTTCTACAAAATAGCAATATAAAAAGTGAAATCAATTTTGAATTGCTGCAATATGATACATTGGTAGATATATATTTCCCAGTTTGTTACCAACCTAAAACGTTAACACATACTATAGAATACAGGTGAAATGTCAACCTCTTGTCATGTTTACCCAAGAACAAAACTTCATAAAATGGTGTGCAGCAGGACTGTTGGTTGTCTACTCAACAACAAATACCCTTTTTCTCTTTGCTTTAAGAGCTCCAATTTTGTTCCAATATTAGAGAGAAGCTGCTCAGTCCTTGGGGATGGATCATGACAGATCAAAACCAATTATGATAATTTTACCTCCCTTTGCTGGTGTTTGATTTAGAAGTGAGTACATTATCCAGTTTCAGCCAATAAGATAATGATGAGTCTGCTGGGGGCCCTTGTTGAAGACTTTCCAGTAAAATAAAAAAGCATAAACATGTTAAGAAAACCTCTTCCCCTTTTCCTCATGTTTAGAAGTTTTTTTCTTATGTGAGAACCTCTTTGAAATCCTGGCAAACATCTTGTAACTCCAAATGGAAGGCTAAGAGAAGTGTGGAGTGCTGCCCCAGGGCTCTGATGGGCTGAAGCAGCACAATTACAAATCCTCTACCTACCCACCCACCCACT
Organism: Homo sapiens; assembly: GCF_000001405.40. NCBI lineage: Eukaryota > Metazoa > Chordata > Mammalia > Primates > Hominidae > Homo > Homo sapiens. Next base: position 85,968,852 of record NC_000023.11, read on the forward strand.
TACCTATGGACTTGTTTAAACCACATTTAGTTGGGCAGTGTTTCAATTCTGGCCTAAAACACACTTAACTGTAGACAGTGATGAGTAATTTCCTCTAAACTGTAAAAATTACAGGTGATTTTACATTTTATTTGTATTCGCTTCATCTAAATTAGAAGTATTAGTGTTCGAGAAGCTCCTGTTGCTTGTATAATTTTTAAGTGGAAATTTAAGAATTCAAAATAAATCAGTAGAATTTTAGATTCCTATTGCAAAAAAATCTTTATTTTTGGTATGAATACATTAGAGTTGGTTCATTTGAAGGTAACAAATAAGTTTTCATCCTGCTTTAATATTATACCAGAAAAAGGGAAACAACGTTCAGTACAATGCAGAAAATAGGACAGAAAATGTATAAAGCTATTGTTAATATTTTAGAAAGATAAAATCTCTTCTCACTAAAGAAACTAGATGACTTTATGCAATTAACAAGCAACGATATTTTACCTAAGAATAACTTGAGTTTGTGTGATTTAAGTGTGAATTAATATATTGCACCTTTTTATAGTCTGTTCAAGATCTAAAACTAGAAACAATAGCTACTTTTATTTCCCCACATAAACTATGAAACTATTACATGGTAAGAAAGAAGAACTCTCACACACTGTTGGTAGGAATGCAAATCAGTACAGCCATTATGGAAAACAGTACAGAAGTTCCTCAAAAAATTAAAAATAAATCTATCATATGATCCAGCAATCTTCACCCTCACTACTGGGTATATAGCCAAAGGAAATGAAATCAGTAGGTTGAAGAGACATCTGCACTCCCATGTTTATTGGAGCACTATTCACAATTGCGAAAATATGGAATCAACTTAAATGCCCATCAACAAATGAATTAACAAGGAAAATGTGGCATATATACACAATAGAATACTGCACAGCCATAAAAAAAATTAAATCCTGTCATTTGTGACAACATGGATGAGCCTGGAGAACATTATATTAAGTGAAATAAGCTGAGAACAGAAAGAAAAATACTGAATGATCTCACTCATATGTGAAATCTAAAAAACTTGATAGTGGTTACCAGAGACTGGGGAGAACAGGAGGGAGGGGAAGATGAGGAGAGGTTGGTCAATGGGTATAATGTTACAGTTAGGTAGGAGGAATACATTCTGGTACTCTATCACACAGTAAGGTGAGTATAGCTAACAATAATGCATTGCATATTTCAAATAGCTAAAAGAGATGATTCTGAATGTTCTCACAAAAAATAATAAAGGTTTAAGGTGATGGATATGCTAATTAGCCTAATTTGATCATTCTACAATGTTTATATGTACCAAAACATATTGTATCCCATGAATATATACAATTATTATGTATCAATTTAAAAAATCCCATGGCATATAAACTGGTCTCAACAACTAAAGAATATTGGATTCTTCCCATAGCTTCCTAACACTGGGAGTTAGGCACTTTAATTTCTCATTACAGATATAACTACATTACAATACTATATAGTATTCCAGTAAATTAAAGAAGTAAATGCACTTTCTTAGGTGCTAGTCTTCACAAAGGAAATACTTAATTCACTTGGTGGAACGGTTGGTTCCCTTGATGTGCATACATGTGTTTACCTGATGACTGAAATACAACATGATACACTGGAAATAGCACACGTTTTTGAGTTAGAAAAACACAAGTTCAAATTTGGCTCTGCTATCTCTAGCATTCCTTGAGCTTCTGTTTGTCAGTAAGATGTACCTATAGCTCATGCACATGACTGCTGCACAGAATAAATGAAATTAATATGTAAAGCAACAGGTTACAGCAGTTGCCACAAAGATAATATCCAATAAACACTAGTCCTTTTTCATTTCCCTTCCATAACTCGATTGTGTAATCACAAAAAATCACTTCAATGAAAAACAATCTTTGTGTAGCAAAAATATTTTAGGTCCAAAATATTAAGTAGCCCACTTATTGTAAGGAAGAATCAGGAAAACAAAGCTCTGATAAAACAATCTGGATAGTTCTTTACAGTCTATGATGTTTGAACCTAGCCTATGATAGAATAATTACTACAATTTACATTTTAGTCTTTAGCCTGTTTTGCAATACCCAACGTATTAAATTTAATGTTGAAATGATCATGAAAACCTTTAAGTTGAATAATACTTCAGAATACTTTTTAAATAAGTCATGGTAATCAAAAAATAACTATCCTATATATTTATATTAGAATACATAATATATAAATACACCCTATATATTTATATTAGAATACATATATTAGAATTATATTGCCCAAATACTTTGACGTATTTTCCAAGCAGTGGTAATGGGTTTGCACTAATCCATTTGAATTCTCGCCTAGTCCTCCTTGCAATCAAATGTAAAATATTAGAATGCTATCGGTGTGTCCGGAATTGGTGGGTTCTTGGTCTCACTGACTTAAAGAATGAAGCCGCGGACCCGCGCGGTGAGTGTTACAGCTCTTAAGGTGGCACGTCTGGAGTTTGTTCCTTCTGATGTTCAGATGTGTTCGGAGTTTCTTCCTTCTGGTGGGTTCGTGGTCTCGCTGGCTCAGGAGTGAAGCTGCAGACCTTCGCGGTGAATGTTACAGCTCTTAAGGCAGAGCGTCTGGAGTTGTTCGTTCCTCCCGGTGGGCTTGTGGTCTCGGTGGGCGCAGGAGTGAAGCTGCAGATCTTCGCGGTGAGTGTTACAGCTCATAAAAGCAGCGTGGACCTAAAGACCGAGCAGCAGCAAGATTTATTGCAAAGAGCAAAAGAGCAAAGCCTCCACAGTGTGGAAGGGGACCGGAGCTGGTTGCCACTGCTGGCTGGGCAGCCTGCTTTTATTGTCTTATCTGGCCCCACCCACATCCCGCTGATTGGTAGAGCCAAGTGGTCTGTTTTGACAGGGTGCTGATTGGTGCGTTTACAATCCCTGAGCTAGATATAAAGGTTCTCCACATCCCCATCAGATTAGTTAGATACAGAGTATAGATACAAAGGTTCTCCAAGGCCCCACCAGAGCAGCTAGATACAGAGTGTCGATTGGTGCATTCACAAACCTTGAGCGAAACACAGGGTGCTGATTGGTGTGTTTACAAACCTTGAGCTAGATACAGAGTGCCAATTGGTGTATTTACAATCCCTGAGCTAGACACAAAGGTTCTCCAAGGCCCCACCAGAGCAGCTAGATACAGAGTGTCGATTGGTGCACTCACAAACCTTGAGCTAAACACAGGGTGCTGACTGGTGTGTTTACAATCCCTGAGCTAGACATAAAGGTTCTCCAAGGCCCCACCACAGCAGCTAGATACAGAGTGTCGATTGGTGCACTCACAAACCCTGAGCTAGACACAGGGTGCTGATTGGTGTATTTACAATCCCTGAGCTAGATATAAAGACTCTCCACGTCCCCACCAGACTCAGGAGCCCAGCTGGCTTCACCCAGTGGATCCCGCACCAGGGCTGCAGGTGGAGCTGCCTGCCAGTCCCGCGCCATGCGCTCACACTCCTCAGCCCTTGGGCGGTTGATGGGACTGGGCGCCGTGGAGCAGGGGGCGGCATTTGTCGGGGAGGCTCGGGCTGCACAGGAACCCACGGTGGCGGGGGAAGGCTCAGGCATGGCGGGCTGCAGTCCCGAGGCCTGCCCCGTGGGAAGGCAGCTAAGGCCCGGTGAGAAATTGACCACAGCGCCGGTGGGCTGGCACTGCTGGGGGACCCAGTACACCCTCCGCAGCCACTGGCCCGGGTGCTAAGCCCCTCACTGCCCGGGGCCGGCAGGGCTGGCCGGCCGCTCCGAGTGCGGGGCCCGCCAAGCCCACGCCCACCCGGAACTCCAGCTGGCCCGCAAGCGCCACGCGCAGCCCCAGTTCCCGCTCGTGCCTCTCCCTCGACACCTCCCTGCAAGCTGAGGGAGCCAGCTCTGGCCTTGCCAGCCCAGAAAGGGGCTCCCACAGTGCAGCGGCGGGCCGAAGGGCTCCTCAAGTGCCGCCAAAGTGGGAACCCAGGCAGAGGAGGCGCCGAGAGCAAGCGAGGGCTCTGAGGACTGCCAGCACGCTGTCACCTCTCATCGGTATGGCTATGACATTGTTTATAACCAAGAAATACACATTTTACTCTTCCTTAATGTTAAATAATCAAGTGGCATATATGAAAATCAAACCATAGGCCGGGCGCGGTGGCTCATGCCTGTAATCCCAGCACTTTGGGAGGCCAAGACGTGCAGATCATGAGGTCAAGAGATCGAAACCATCTTGGCCAACATGGTGAAACCCAGTCTCTACTAAAAATACAAAAATTAGCTGCGCATGGTGGCACGTGCCTGTAGTCCCAGCTACTCGGGAGGCTGAGGCAGGAGAATCACCTGAACCCGGGAGGCAGAGGTTGCAATGAACCGAGATCACGCCACTGCACTCCAGTGTGGTGACACAGTGAGACTCTGTCTCGACAAAAAAAAAAAAAAAAAAAAAAAAAAAAAAAGAAAGAAAGAAAGAAATCAAACCATAGATTCTACCCTAATATACACCAACTCTATAAATAAGCTAAGTCATCTGGTCTAAAGTGACAAGACATGTCATAATATTTTAGCCTTCATATCATTATAAAGTAATTTTTACATGATGTTTTGGAAATTTACAAAAACATTTAAAACAATATCCCACATATATAGTGCACCAATGATTCAAGTTTGACTTATATCTATTTACTTGCTTGATACAAGCAAATACAGTAAACTCTTGGCATGAATGATCATTTAAGGGTAATACTTTTGGTAATTTGTCATTTGGCCAGATTATGGATTTGAATTGCATATGCTGAGACACCATGTGCAAGAACAATATATTCAGCAAATGAGAGACATGATTGCCCAGCATTAGCATATAATTAAAATGTCCTCAGGAAGTGATGAGAACTTCCTTTCTGGGAAAAAAGAACAAAGTAGGGCTTATTAAGTGAGCCTAAGGATAAGTAGAAAACACAATTAACCTGTTGCCATATGGCTGTGGATGGAAAACACATGACTCACAAGAGAAAATAGATTCTTAAAAACAAAACCAAACCAACAAACAAAAAAGCAGCCAGTGAAAAGAAAGGCATAAAACTTTTCCTCTTTACTGTACACATAATTATCTAGGTAGAAAATCCCAAGCAATCTACAAAAAAGCTTCCAGAACTGGGAAGTAAATTCAGCAAGATTTCAAGAAATATCCAAAATCAAAACATAAAAGGCAAGTGCATTGCTAGATAGTAGCAATGAATATGTGAAAACCAAAATTAAAAAGACAATACCATTTATAATTGTTCCAAAGAAAATTAAATATTTAGGTATGCAATTAGTAAAACATGTACAGGATCAGTATGCTGAAAATTACAAAATTCTATTGAAGAAAATCAAAGATGAGCTTCATAAGTAGAGAGACATACCATGTTCATAGATTGGAAGACTCAAAATAATAAAGAGGTCAATCCTCCCAAACTATAGTATTAAAGTAATTGTTATCAAAATCTCAGCAAGATTTTTCTTTAGACATAGACAAGCTTATTTAAACATTTATATGGAAAGGCACAAACTCTAGAATATCTAAAACAATCTTGACAAGGAAAAATAAATTGGGAGGAATTTATCTGATAGTAAAGCCTATCACATAGCTTCAGTAATAAAGATAATGTGGTATTGGTGGAGGAAAAAACATATAGATCGAACAGAATAAAGAACCTCAAAATAGACCCATCCAAGTACAATCAACTGATTTTTGACCAAGGTATAAAAGTAATTCAATGGAGGAAGAATAGCCTTTTCAATAAATGGTGTTGAAGCAATTGGATATCCTTAGATCGAAAAACAAAAAAGAACACTGATCTAAACGTACAACATAAAACTATAATTAAAAAAAAAAGAGAAAATCTATACCTATAGGTAGGCAAAAAGTTCTTAGACTTCACACCAAAATAATCAAAATAATCAAAATAATAATAATTGATAAATTAGACCTCATCAAGATTAAAAATATTTGCTCTGCAAAATATCCTATTTAAAGAGGATGAAAAGACAAGCTAGAGTCATGGGGAAAATATTCTCCAACCACATATCTGACAAAGGACACATATTTAGAATGGATTTTTTTTAACTCTGAAAACTCAACAGTAAAAAACTACTCCAATTTTAAAAACAAGCAAAAGACATGAACAGACACTTCACCAAAAATGGTATATGGATGGCAAATAAGAGAACATGAAAAAATATTCAAAATGAGCCATCAAAATGGCTAAAATAAGAAAGTGACAACACCAAATTAAGGTAAGTATGTGGAGAAATTGGATTACTTACACATTTCTGGTGGGAATGTAAAATAGTACAGCTCCTCTGAAACAGCTCTGCAGTTTCTTTTAAAACTAAATATGCAATTACCATATGACCCAGCAATTATACACTTGGGTATTTATCCCAGAGAAATGAAAACTTTTATCCCAGAGAAAGTCACATGAAAACCAATGCACAAAATTGCATAACAGCTTTATTTGTAATAGCAAAAACTAGAAACAGTAAGATGTTTCTCAATGGGTGAATGATTAAACAAACTGTGGTAAACCCATTACTGTGGAATACTATTCAGTGATGAAAAATGAACAAACTACTGATGTACACAACAACCTGGATGAATCTCCAGGGAATTATGCTGAGTAAAAAAAAGCCCATGCCAAAACATTACATACTATACAGTTCCATTTACATAATATTCTTAAAATGACAAGATTATAGAGCTGGAAAACAGATTAGTGATTGTCAGGAGTTATGAATGGTAGGGGTGAGTAAGAAGTAGATCAGATGTGCTTACAGAAAAATAATAGTAGGGGTCCTTGTGGTGATAGAACTGTTCTGCTCTGTAACTTGACTGTGACAGTGAATACATGAACCCACAAATGTGATAAAATTGTATGGAACTAAATACACACAAACTCCATATCTGCAAAATGTAACATTAGCATCACTAACACATATGTTTCAAAAAGCAACGACAAAAAGCCAGAAACCTGTACCATATTTTTCATTATTTACAAAAGGGTATGCATGAAGATTTTGCAATGTATCCTTTAAGAATGTTAAAGATCTACTATATAGTGATACTCTTACTTACTCAAGAGGAAATAAGAGAATTTTCTAGATAACAAAACCTCGTCTCTTAAAAGGGTACAATTTTTATTCTAATCATTTTTAATACTCATCTTTCTAAAACGTACTTCAAATCCTCTACTTTTTCAAGTGGAGGATAAAGAACATTATTTAACTTTTGCCTGAAGACACTGGAATACAACTGTGATCATCAGCTGTTACACTGTACTATAATATAGTGACGGCCTTGAGGGATCTTCTGATATGAAAAGCCACTTACCCATACACTAAATGGCCCAAAGTCTGCTTTCAGCTTGCCGATGCTGTCTTCTCCTTTATTATTCTACCAAGCAGCACTTAAAATAGTAGCATGTTAGAGCCGGGCGCAGTGGCTCACGCCTGTAATCCCAGCACTTTGGGAGGCCGAGGCAGGTGGATCACGAGGTCAGGAGATCGAGACCATCCTGCCTAACACGGTGAAACCCTGTCTCTACTAAAAATACAAAAAATTAGCCGGGTGTGGTGGCAGGCGCCTGCAGTCCCAGCTACTCGGGAGGCTGAGGCAGGAGAATGGCATGAACCTGGGAGGCGGAGCTTGCAGTGAGCAGAGACCACGCACCACTGCACTCCAGCTTGGGTAGCAGAGTGAGACTCCGTCTCAAAAAAAAAAAAATAGTAGCATGTTAGAGCCCAGAGAGACTTCTGAGATCGCCTAGTCCAAACCCTTCCAAACACGTTTCATTAATGGCAAAACATAGACTCAAAATAGAGACATCCCTTGCTCAGTATCACATAGCAAGTCAAGGACTATAACCCTAGTCTCCATGTGGTTCTCAGTTTGCTTGCCTCTAGCAGATACCCCTTTCCTATTTGCTGCTTTAAACTACAATGCTAGGGGGAAAACACACACAAACACACACACACACACACACACACACACACACACACACAGAAAGAAAATGAGGTTGTCAGAAATATGTATTAAATAAATAAGGCTTTTAAGTCAGTGAGTGCTGATGATAACCTCCTGTATAATGTAAAACTTTGTGACAACTATTTTGGCCCTAGCCCCTTTCATATAATTTCAAGTTTGTGAACATGATCCAAAAGATTAAGGATGCCAGTCTTGCTGGGGCTAAGTGAGATATTGTTAGTCCTATTTACCCATGTTGCCAGCACTTACTATAGATAGCCCTTACAAATGGATTTTCTGTACTTTCTCTACTTTCCTGATGTTCTCAAGGCTTTTCCTGCTTACTACTATGACATTAATAACCAGCTAACTTTTCCAAGTGAATTAAGACATATAAAACATTATCCCAGTTCACTTTATGCTCCACGCTCTAACTGGCAAGAGGAACATATAACAGAGTTCTATTTCGTTGTCTTCAAACAAACCTTCCACCAACAACCATTTAGTTTCTCACTTTGAGAAGTTATACAAACGAAACTGAAGAGATCAGGAACTGAAAATGAGATAATTTTCTTTGCACTCAAAATGTATCAACTCAGCCATTAGAAACTATTAACCTCAATTATCATAAAAAGTAATCAGTGGCCTTGAAGTAACAAAAGTATAATACCTCTCAGAAGGCCAGTGTGACTGTCACTATATTGTAGTCAAGTAATATAATATTCATGGGCACACAAAAGCACGTAAGAAAGTTACCAAATATTTATTCCTCATTTCGTTAAAGCATATGTCTTTTCAGTTGAAATCATCTTCCGTTTTAAATCTTTCAGCACTGGCTCTGAAGAATATCTAGTGAGCTGTACCTTTTCATACCAAATGGTATTTAGCATTATACAAATTATAATCTATACCAGACATTTCAAAGGCTGTGCTTTTACAGAAAATCACAGAACACAAACAGTATATTATGGGGAAAGAATGCTACTTACATGGAAGATATGAACATAGGTTAAGAAGTCAAGCACATGTTACCAAACTTTTCACAGGCTCATGCTTAACACTCTGCCACAACAATGATATGTAAGATGACAAAGCGTATCCTGAAGAATCTCTGGTGTATTGAATTTTAAGTTTTAATTACTATTAAAGTGCCTGACAGACTGATGTTCTAAGCCTCTGGACTCTATAACTACTTGAATGGCTTAACTATGTGATTATTACCTTTTAACCTGTCAATCATATATCATTTGAAAAAGTATACTAATCCAATTGTTTTTAAACAGTGAATCTCTCACTCAGAGGGAGATACTTAAAACATTACTTCCAACTGTTCTATCCTAATTTACCAAAATATGTACCCAAATATTATGCCCACAAAATTTACGTATTCAAAAATGATAATCTTCCATTTTGCTACACTGAGTATTATCTAAGAAAGATGATATAGTTGGAAGAACACTGGAGCACTAGGAAAAACTCTGGAATTTAATCTTGAGCTCTACCACTCTGGAGCTTAAGTGTGGCCCTGCCGTTTACCAAGCCACGTGACCTTCTGCAACTACTTAATCTCCTTAAGTTCCATTGAGGATTCTGTAAAAAAAATCCAACTATTAATACTACTATCTGCCCTACCCTAGCAAAGAATTGTTTTAATGATCAAATGAGATAATATATTTAAAACGGCTTGGTAAATTCGGAGGCGTTAAGGTAAAATGTTATCATTATTACCTAAACAGAGACAACTGAAAGTTCCATTTAAAAACAGGCAAAACCAGCATATTAACGTGACTTGTAGCAACCAATGCCACATAAATCTTTATTGTTGGCTTCTTCTAAAGAAGAGTGAAAAAGTCATTAATTTAGTTTACCTGCAGTAAATACTTTTCATACCTGGCATAACAAAATACTTCCACATGTTGAATAGTTTTGTCCTTCCTGCTAAGAGCAATGGCTTCTTCATTTTCAAGGATCTGGTCTTGCCACACTGGACTGTCACTTACAATGTCACTGTTTTCCTAAACAAAACACAGATAAGAAGTTTTAATCAAAGTGGGCAGTGTGAAACATGCAATTTTCTGAGAAAATTTACCTCTTGTCTAAATTCATGCTTATTTCATCTTACCAAAACTCAAAGGATATCACCTCAGAGTCACCAAAGAAAGTCCAACAAGTGTTTCAACTTCAAAGGAAGGGGAGAAAAACAATGTGTAAAATCTGTACTATCAAAAACTAGATCTGATTTACAGATTTCTGTCAGGGTATATGAAATTTTGAAAAAGTCATTCGGACATGGCTGTTTGGACATTGCTTAAGAACTAGGACAACTAACCCTCTATCTGCTGAGAATCAAGTATATCTGTTATATACATTACTTATTAATAAAAACAGGGCCTTTTTTTTAACATTTTTTGGTCAAAACAGCAGAGTCAAAATAACTTCGTTCTATTTATTTTCAGATCTTTGAAGGTTGGTCGCTAGTCATATCAAATTTTGATTACATATAAAAGTACTTCTGAAAAATATTCAGCCCAGTATAACTAAGGGCTTTATAATAATTAGTCCCTGAATACCTTAAAAAACAAGAAAGACAATAAAAAACAAGAATGTGTACTAAAGCATGTAAACTCTCACTAAGGGTTGAAAGTGGTCCGTTAAAATGTTCAGTAATTCCTAATTATATTTTATGGAGTATTTGAATACACAGTATTTTTGAAGGTGTCAAGATATACCTTTTTCAAATGTCAAGGATCAATTTTTAATCTGTTTAAAATTTTAAGCTGTTTAATACACATCTTTCTCAGAGAAAACTTTTTGAAACTGTATTATACATACTGAAGGAACTAGTAGGAAAATAGAATTACAATATCTTTTAAGTAAATTCATCTCAGAAAACTTTTAAACTTACAAATGTCATAAAGGCAATAAATATTTTTAAAAGGCTTTGTTGTCCTGAGTTTAACATTTTAAACTGAAGAAAAGTAGTGACATACAGCTCTTATTATCAAGTATAATATTAGATAGTACTAAACATCCAAACATAAGTAGAAGAGAAGGTGAAATACAAGATTTTTGAATGTGTAGACATGAGGTTACCAGCCTAAGAAAAGAACTGTGGACCAGGGAAAGGGAATGGAGAGACAAAGACAGTGGCAGGGTCAAGATTCTGGAGTAAAACAATCATTAAAATAAACTAAACTTCAAGAAAAACATTTTTATTTGAATAAATAATAAACATTACCAAATGTATTTTTTTTAATTTCCATTCAGACTATTGGGGTATATTTTGTTATTGTTGTTTTGAGAATCTACACTACATTTTCTCATGGAAGTACTAAATATGCCTAAATATAAGGTGACCCTCACATACACTTCCCAAAAATGAGGTGCAAAAAAGAGTTTCTGATCAAAGTAAATACATGAATATTTAAGCACAGACTAAACAGTTAAATATCTACTTATTTACTCTCTTGACTTACACAGTTTGAATTATTATATGAAATGCTACTTTACAAATACTGCTTGTTTCTCTATACTCATTTCATGCAACAATATTCAAACTGAATTTTCACTGCATCTTCAATATCAGTGTCTTTGTCATCATGAGAGGCACTTTTTGAGTCATGTATACTGATTAAGTCATGTACATTGATTAAATCAATCAATCAATGCAATGGTGCTTGGCACATGATAAATGCTTAACAAGTCTTAGCTAACTGAATACAATTTTCTGGACTACATCATCCTCCTTTCCAAACATCTAAATTCTTTTGCGATACAGCAGTTTCTGATCTTCTGTATGATGCTCTCAGCAGAAATTTCATTTCAAGCCACATGTACCAATCTGCATAAGAGTAGGACAGATTTTTTTAAATCTGTCTTATAAAAGTTGGCAAGCTCCATAACTGACTCTCCATATTATGCTATACGTGATCCCTAAACAGTTTCTTTATAATGGTATTCAACAGCTTAGTATTGAGATCCTACTCTTAGAAAAAAAATTACTTAATTCATACTAAATTTCTTTGATTTTTTCTTTTGGCTGATTGTGTCAGGTGACCTCTATAAAATACAAAATCACCACTGAGATCATTTCAAATTAATGTATATTCCCCAAATTGTTAGGTTTTTTCTTTTTTTTCAAAAAAGGTTTTTGTTCAAAATATACTGACTCTAAGAGCAACCAGTAAATGTGAGATTTTATAAGGACTAGGATATTTTTTCTAAAGATGATTTTGGGGAAAAAATTATCATCTTATATTTGGGCACATAAATAATTAGGAAATAGTTATTAAGTACAAACAGTTTACTCTTCAACCAACATTTCTATTTCTATATATATATATAGACACACATATTTTTTTTTTTTTTTTTTTTTGAGACAGAGTCTCACTCTGTTGCCCAGGCTGGAGTGCAAAGGTGCAGTCTCGGCTCACTGCAACCTCCACCTCCCAGGTTCAAGTGATTCTCCTGCCTCAGCCTCCTGAGTAGCTGGGACTACAGGCACGTGCCACCATGCCCAGCTAATTTTTGTATTTTTAGTAGAAATGGGATTTCGCCATGTTGGCCAGGCTGGTCTCGAACTCCTGACATCAGGTGATCCGCCCACCTTGGCCTCCCAAAGCGCTGGAATTACAGGCATGAGCCATCGCACCCGAGCTCTATTTATATTTAAAAAGGGATAAAGACATTGGGAAAATATTAGCTAAAAAGGTGACTTTACATATTTTTTGTAAAATAAGTGAATAAAAATAAAGAATCAATCCTGTGTTACAGGTGAAGCTTAGGGTTTTCTTCAGTGCAGGGTTACTATGTAACATACAATAAAACAAAGCAAATTAAAAGGTCAGATACAAACTTTACCTGGTATTCCTTTAGCCAGGACAATAGTCCTGAAAAGCTAAAACTGGCCCAGTTTCCTCCATAGTAGCTTCTTCTGTAACAATTAAAAAAAAAAAAAAAAGTAAAGAAAATGGTATAAAAATCAATTCACTGATCTTCATCAACAAACCATCTTTAACCCTTAAACTTACTTCACTTTTTAATATTACTGCCTCAAGAGTTCAAAAGTACACATAATTGGAAGGCTCACATAAGTGGAAGTGGTAGGCTAAAAGTAGGCCTCTCAGATCCCAAAAGAAATGTTTCATCACATAAGGAGTTAAAAAACATCTTTGGCTCCCTTAAAGCTTTCTCCACTGATTATGTGAACCGCCTGACATGGGCATTTAGCAGGTAACATGAATATATATGACTCTTGGGTTAACAAATGTGGCAAGGAAGAAAACCTTGATAGATCTCAAAGAAAGCTACTGAAAAACTGCTAAGTTTTCTGTAAGTACTTAAATCTCCTCCTCCTCCACCACCACCTCCGCCACCTCCACCACCACCACCACCAAACCCATCTCCAACACAAAACATACACATACACACAGACACACAATTGGCTACTCTAGATAAAGTGGAAGACCCTGTGCTATTCTTAGCCTTTAGGGCCAAAAATAAAAGGAGATACTGGGAAACAGTTATTCACATCACATCAAGATATTTGCAATAAGTATAATAGAAACAAAACTATCACTAATAACCGGGTGAGCTATTATTCTTCATTACTCAGTCCTGTGAAGATCGCTGTTTTGGACAACCCAGAGGTCTCCTAAATAGGTCAGGTAAACCTTGTAGACATTAGATCATTAAGTGGGGATTTTTTGCAACCAGAACTCTTTAATTCTTCACTGCATATTGGGGCTCCGGATCCTTGTAAAACGATTTGCACTTACTGACTCTGTATGATGAGCCCCCAAGTACACTTGATCCCACCTACAACACCCATTCTGGTTCTGGTTGGGAGGGATTCTTGGTTTTGTTTCCATTTTCATTTTTGCTTCTCTGTTTCTCTAATAAAATAAAAATCCATGAAAGGTTTTTAAACAATTAAACAAAAAATAAAACCTATAATGTGATATCTAAAATTACTCTTCCAGCCAGGCACAGTGGCACACACCTGTAATCCCAGCTACTTGGGAGGCTGAAGAGAGAGGAGTCCTTGAGCCCAGAAGTTCAATACCAGCCTGTGCAAAATAGCAAGACCCTATCATAAAATAAAATAATGAAATGAAATAAAATATAAAATAACTCTTCCATAATGCTACTGGAGATCATCTCCCAATTCTGATTCATGTTTCCTAAATCAACTGTCAACACAGGTCTGAAAAGTAAGCAGATTTTAGGCTCAAGCATTTTACCAAACAAATACTGCTTTTCTCTAACAGAGAAAAGGGTTAAATAAAATGCCTGTGAAAGTAGCTTTATTAATATAGATCATATCGTACTTACATCTGATGGTCTCTTCGGAAATAATGTAAATTCATGCACTGTCCAGAATCTCCAATGGTCTTTAAAATTTAGCTAGAATTTCAGCTATAGTAGCAATTCTAGATGGTCACCCTTTACCAAAATGTTGGAATCAGGAAACCTACAAGCAGTGACCCCTTGCATCAGAGAGAACAGTGAAAGGAAGGAGAAGGTGGGTGATGGCAGGTATAGAGAAGACAGAGGAATGTTAGAATTTGAGGTTTTCCCATAGCAATTTATACTTCCATCCCTTTTGCCTGAGAAGAATACAATTCTGCTATCTCTTCCCATCCTCCAAATATAATACTCAACAAAACTAGAAAATATCCTAGGTTTTGAAGGAGGGGAAAAAAACCTGAAACTACTGACACTATATTTATTTGTTGAGATATTTAGATTTATTTGCAATCAACATAAAGTCTTAAGTGAGCAGCACTGGCTAATGGGTGAAAGCTTCAAGATCAAAGTAAAATTTATTTGAATGGATATACCAATATATAAGTAATAAATATATATCAAAAATCTAACATTGGGGACAGACAAAAGTTTCTTCGGACACAAAAAGCAATTAAAACTATTGATAAATTAGGTTTCCTCAAAATGAAAAACTTCCCTAAAAAATAAATTATTTTAATAAATGAATGGGCCAGACACAAATATTCACAAAACATATCTAATAAAGGCTTGGTATTGATCGGGCACGGTGGTTCATGCCTGTAATCCTAGCACTTTGGGAGGCCGAGGTGGGCGGATCACCTGAGGTGAGGAGGTCGAGACTAGACTGGCCAAAATGGTGAAACCCCGTCTCTACTAAACAGAAAAAAATTAGCCGGGCGTAGTGGCACACACCTGTAGTCCCAGCTACTCAGGAGGCTGAGGTAGAAGAATTGCTTGAACCCAGGAGGCAGAGGCTGCAGTGAACCGAGATCGTGCCACTGCACTCCAGCCTGGGTGACAAGAGCAAAACTCTGTCTCAAAAAAAAATAAAAAATAAAAAATAAAAATAAAACTTGTTATCCAGAATATATAAAGAACTCTTTCAACTTAATAAGACAGATATTAAAAGGTAAAAATGGGCAAAGGGTTTGAAGAGACACTTCACAAAAGAACATGGTTAATGAGCACATGAAAAAGTACGCAATATCATTAGGTAAGTGCATATTATAATAGCATTACAAATGAGCATATGAGATACCAGTACGTAGCCACCAAAATAATTAAAAAGATTGTCAATACCTGGTATTGATGTGGATGGCCAGAATGCTCATATATTTTGGTGAACATACAAAATGGTACAAGCACTTTCTAATATCTGGTAGTTTTTTAATAAATAAATATATACCCACCTTATGATCGAGTAATTTCAATTTCTAGGAAATTACACATGAGAAAAGCATATACTGACAAAAATACTTGTACAAGTCTTTCCACAGCAGCTTTATTAATAGCCCCAAACTGATAATAATCCAAGTATCCATCAACAGGAGAATGAATAAACAAACTGTCGTATATCCATAAAATGGGATACTATTCACCAATAGAAAGGAATAATCACCTGCTATATACAACATAAATGCATCTCAAAAGCATTATGCTGAGTGAAAGCCTTGGCCAAAGAGTACATACTATATGATACCATTTATATAAAATTATGGAAAAAGTTAATCTATGATGAAAAATATCACAAGACTGGGAGTGGGGTCAGGACTTGACTGTGACTTTCCAGGCAACCTGGCTAAAGAAGCTGCGACTCCAAAGAAGTGGGAGGTTAGACCCCCATACATACCCCTAGGAAAGGGGCTGAATTCAGAGGACTGGGCAGCAACAATCTGCAGGCCCCACTTCCATGGCACCTCACAGGATAAGAACCACTGGCTTGGAAGTCTAGCCAGCCAAAGGGAGCCGCATTGCACACCTCTCTGAGACAGAGCTCCCAGCGGGAGAGGTGGGCTGCCATTTTTGCTATTTGAGCAACTTAGTCTTTCCAGCCTTTGGACTTTGGAGACTCCAAGCCATCGCAGGTCAGACCCAGTCCCCCAAGCCCAGCACAGCGGCTCTACAAAAACGTGACCAGACTGCTTTTATAAGTGGTCCCCGATTCCATTCCTCCTCACTGGGTGGGATGTCCCAACTGGGACCAGCAGCCCCTGCCAGTGTTCTCTGGCCAAAAGAGATTTGAAACCTCCCTGGAAGGAAGCTCCCAGAGGGAGGGGTGGGCCACCATCTTTGCTCTTTGGATGACATAGCCATTCCAGCCTTCAGGCTTCGGAGAGTCCAAGCCAACCAGGGACGGAAGCGGTCCACCAGCACATCACAGCTACTCTACAAAAAGATGGCCAGACAGCATTTCTTAAGTGGAACCTCAATCCCATTCCTCCTCATGAGGCAGGACCTCCCAACCAAAGTCTCCAGCCATATTCTACAGGTGCCTTAAGGCTGGCAACAAGTCCACATCTTCCTCGGATGGATCTCCCAGAGGGAGGGGCAGGCCATCATCTTTGCTGCTTCACAACCTTCTATGTTGATACTTTGAGGTACTGGAAAATCCAAGGTCATTAGCAACTGGAGCAGGCACCCAGTATACCATAGCAGCCCTACAGAAAAGCAGCCAGACTGTTACATGGGAGCCTGTTCCCATAACTCCACACCAGGCAGGTCCTCCAGTCCTGGGTCACCAGCTACCCTCACCAGAGCTATTTAAGCCAGTAGCAGCTCGGCAACTCCCTGGACAGAGCCCCCAGGAGCAACTGAAAGCCTCTCTGCCACTGCCTCTGCAGCAGACTTCCCTTGCTACCCTTGGACTAACGAAGAAGCAAAGACCCTAAGTGCCTTACCCAAACCTCCAACTAACTGTAGTCAACAGAAAAAGGGGTCAGTCCATTTCCCATAGGTCACACCCACCCCCGACTGCTCGCCACTAGAGAACACCCAGGTTGGGCCCAGAGCACAGATCCTGAATCCTGGACTGCTCTCACTGAGCAACTGCTGACCTGCATCTCTCTGGGGTGGAGCCCCCAGGATACAAGTAAAAGACCCTTGGCCAAAATCACTACTAAGGTCCGTTACTCTGCTGCCTCCAAGTTGTGGAAAAAACATAAATGCTGAGATCACCCCAGAGTTTCAGTGGGCAGCCCAGGAGCACCAAGCTATGGTCTACAGCCAGCACTCAAAGGGGAGAGGAACCCACACTTTCAGAGCATTGATAGGGAACATGGCTGCAACTGTGAGGAAACATAGCGGAGGCACACAACCAAGCAAGAATCTATCAACTAACCAGTACACTTAAATGCCACCTACTGGATGACACGCCAAAGCTTCAAGACCAAAAATACTCACTAACATACGTACCTCTCTTAAACCAAAGACAAGAAGTCAGCTTCCAATAAAGACCCTGTACGAAGCCTCGGTCCTGTGAAAATAACCAGAAAAGAAGTCTACTGACTGTACTCACTCTACACTTTAGTTAAAGGAATACCCACAGGCAGATATGGGAAAGAATCAATGCACGAACTCGGGTAACTCAAATGGCCAGTGTTGTATGTCCTTCAAACAACCACACCAGTTCTCCAACAAGAGTTCTTGACCAGGCTAAGCCGCCTGAAATGACAGAAATGCAATTCAGAATATGGAAAGAAATGAAAATCTTTGAGATTCAGGAGGATGGAGAAACCCAACCCAAAGAAGCTAAGAATCACAATAAAATAATACAAGAGCTGAAGGATGAAACAGCTGGAAAAAAAAAAAACTAACAAATCTGACAAAGTGGAATAACACAATACAAGGATATCACAATGCAATCACAAGTATTAACAGCAGAATAAACCAACCTGAGGGAAGAATCTCAGAACTTGCACACTGGTTCTCTAAAATAAGACAGACAAAAATAAAAAAGAATAAAAAGATATAAACAATATGACTGAGAGGTATGGGATTCTGTAAACAGGCAAAATCTATAAATCACTGGCATCCCTGAAAGAGACAGGGGAAAAGCAAACAACTTGGAAAACATATTTCAGGATATCTTCCATGATAATTTTCCCAACCTGGCTAGAGAGGCCAACAGTCAAATACAGAAAATACATAAAACCCCTGCAAGATTCTACACAAGAAGATCATCCCCAAAACACATAATCTTCAGATGTTCCAAGGGCAAAATGAAAGAAACAACATTAAGGGCAGCTAGAGAGAAAGGGCACCCCATCAGGCTAAAAGTGGTCCTCTCAGCTGAAACCACCCAAGCAACAAAAGATTGGGAACCCATATTCAACATTCTTAAAGAAAAAGATTTGCAACCAAGAATGTCAATGAAGACAGGAAAAACTATTCAAAACATCCATGAATCCAGGAGTTGGCTTTTTGAAAAAATTAATAAGATAGATAGGATGTTAGCTAGACTTAAAGAAGAGAAGAAAGAAGACACAAATAAACACAATTACAAATGACGAAGGGAATGTTGCCACTGACCCCACAGGAATATAAATAACCATCAGAAGCTACTATTAACACCACTATGCATACAAACTAGAAAACATAAAAGAAATGGATAAATTCCTGGACACATACACCCTCCCAAGACTGAACTAGGAATAAACTGATTCTCTGAACAGACCAATAACAAGCTTTGAAATGGAATCAGAAATAAATAGCCTATCAACCAAAAAGGCCCAGGACCAGATGGATTCACAGCCGAATTCTACCAGATGCACAAAAGAAGAGCTGGTACCATTCCTACTGAAACTATTCCAAAAAAATGAGGGACTCCTCCCCAACTCATTCTATGAGGCCAGCATCATCCTGAAACAAAAACCTCGCAGGGATATAACAGAAAAAGAAAACTTCGGGCCAGTATCCTTGATTGAATATTGATGCAAAAATCCTCAACAAAATACTTGCAAACGGAATCCAGCAGCAAATCAAAAGGCTAATTCACCACGATCAAGAAGGCTTCATCCCCGGGATGCAAGGTTACTTCAACATACATAAATCAATAAATGTGATTCATCACATAAACAGAACTGAAGACAAAAACCATGTTTATCTCAATAGATGCAGGAAAGACTTTTGATAAAATTCAACACTCATTCATGTTAAAAACTCTCAGCACACTAAGTATTAAAGGAATACATCTCAAAATAATAAGAACAATCTATGACAAACCCACAGACAACATCATGCTGAATGGGCTAAAGCTAGGATTCACCTTGAAAACTGGCACAAGACAAGAATGCCCTCTCTCACCACTCCTATTCAACGTAGTATTGGAAGTCCTAGCCAGATCAATTAGGCAAGAGAAAGAGATAATGGGCATCCAAAAGAAAAAGAGGAAGTCAAACCGTCTTGGTTTGCAGACTACATGATTCTATATCTAGAAAACCCCAGTCTGGGCCCAAAAGCTCCTTCAGCTGATAAACAACTTCAGCAAAGTTTCAGGATACAAAACCAATGTTCAAAAATCCCTACCATTCCCATGCATCGATAATAGGCAAGCTAAGAGCCAAATCAGAAAGCCAATCTCATTCACAATTACCACAAAAAGAATAAAACACCTAGGAATACAGCTAACCAGGGAAGTAAAAGTTCTCTACAATAAGAATTAGAAACCACTGCTCAGAGAAATCAAAAGACACAAATAAAATGTAAAAACATCCCATGCTCATGAATAGGAAGAATCAAAATTATTAAAATGGCCATACTGCCCAAAGCGATTTACAGATTAAATGCAATCCCTATCAAACTACCAACAACACTGTTTACAGAACTAGAAAAGACTACTTTAAAATTTATATGTAACCAAAAAATACCCAAATAGCCAAGGCAATCCTAAGCAAAAAGAACAAAGCTGGAGGCATCACGTTACCAGATTTCAAACTATACTACAAGGCTACAGTGACCAAAACAGTATGGTACTGGTACAAAACCAGGTACATAGACCAATGGAACTGAATAGAGAGCCCAGAAATAAGGTTGCCCACCTATGACCACCTGATCTTCGACAAAGCTGACAAAAAGAAGCAATGGGGAAAAGACTCCCTATTCAATAAATGGTGCTGGGATAACAGGCTAGCCATATGTAGAAGACTGTATCTGGAGCCCTTCCTTACACCATATACAAAAATCAACTCAAGATGGATTAAAGACTTAAATGCAAAACCCAAAACTATTAAATTGTTGGAAGACTACCTAGGCAATACCATCCTGGACATAGGAATGGGCAAAGATTTCATAACAAAGATACCAAAAGCAATCACAACAAAAGCAAAAATTGACAAGTGGAATCTAATTAAACTTCAGAGTTTCTGCACAGCAAAAGAAACTGTCAACAGAGTAAACACACAACCTACAGAATGGGAGAAAATTTTTGCAAACCATGCATCTGACAAGGGTCTAATATCCAACATCTAAAAAGAACTTCAACAAATTTACAAGAGAAAAACAATCCCATTAAAAAGTGGACAAAGTACATGAACACTTTTCAAAAGAAAACATACATGTAGTCAATAGCATATGGAAAAAAAACTCAATATTACTAATCATTAGAGAAATGAAAATCAAAACCACAATGAGATACCATCTCACACTAGTCAAAATGGCCATTACTAAAAAGTGAAAAAATAACAGATGCTGGCAAGGTTGCAGAGAAAAGGGAACACTTGTACACTGTTGGTGGAAGTGTAAATTTAACCACTGTGGAAAGCATTATGGCAATTCTTCAAAGAGCTAAAAGCAGAGCTACCATCCAATCCAGCAATCCCAGTAGTGGGTATATACCCAAAGGAATATAAATAATTCTACCATAAAGACACATGCATGCAAATGTTCACTGTAGCACTATTCCCAATAGCTAAGACATAGAATCAACTTAAATGTGCATCAATGACGGACTGGATAAAGAAAATGTGGTGCATATACACCATGGAATACTATGCAGCCATAAAAAAGAACAAGATTGTGTCTTTTGTGGGAACACAGATGGAGCTGGAGGTTATTATCCTTAGCAAACTAACGCAGGAACAGAAAACCAAATACCAAGTGTTTTCACTTATAAGTGGGAGCTAAATCATGAGAACTTATGAACACAAAGAAGGCAAGAGCAAACACTGGAGTCTACTTGAGGGTGAGAGGAGGAAGAGAAGCAGAAAATATAACTTTTGGATACTGCGCTTAATACCTGGTTGCTGAGATAATGAGTACAACGAACCCCCATCACACGAGTTTACCTATGTAACAAACCTTCACATGTACCTGCAGACATAAAAGTTTTAAAAAAATTGTAGAAAACATGGTTGTAATCTTTTGAAAGCTTCGCATAGCTTATTCAGAGTGCCACCTAAGGTTTTCCAGAAACAATAAGGAAATAAGTTATACAACCCTCTCTTAACACTAATCAAGAAGATAATAGAAAAAAATAGTACTGAAACTAAATCAAGATCTTTCTCATCCTTCATATGGTGTTTAATGTTAAAGCAATATCAGTTTGCTTAACATCTCTTAACAGAAAAGCAATACTACAGGTAGACTCAAAGAAAGTTGAACTATATGAGAAGGCTGAGCATTAAACCCATTAACTGGAGCTTATTAATTAAATCCTAACAATCTTCTTTTCCATTGTGCATCATAATTACAATTCAGTGTTGAATATTCAGCAGCAGGCATAGCTAAATGCTACTAAACTACATATTGTATTGTGAAATGGCTTCTGTAAGCAAGTCCAAGAACAGTAACAAAAGATGAAGCTACTGACATTCAAGCATATTCATCTGGGAACCATTCTAATTATTAAGAAATTAGGAGTTGAAAATGTTTTCAGGCAGGTAGCTAATGGGATCCAAGGTTGCTCGATGGGAACAAGAGCAGCATAGCTCAACCTCAGACTGTCCTAGTATTCATTCACTGCTCTTACAATTCCTTTTCCTAGAGTAGTAGTAATACCATCTTCCATTGACAGCAGTTTTAATTTCCCAACTTGTTTTTACAACTATTCTCTCATAGATTCTTCTGGCAATCTTGTGAGGCAGATAGAAAGGGTGTTATTTCATAGATGAGGACACTATGACTTGTCTGTGTAGAGTTTAGTCACTAGTCAGGGCCACACAGTTACAATTTGCAGAACTGCAATTGAAACTCAGTTCTCCTGAACTCTAATCCTGTCCATTACAACCTACAAATTCCCAAACTTTTAAGCTGGCTAGCACCATTTAGTCCACAAGATATATTGGTAGCTGTGGTTCAATGAAGTCAAACACTTAATTGAGTAGTGCCTGGTCCTGATTACTAAATTAACCTTTTCTAAAATGTACCCCATCAAAATGAGCTATTATTAATAGGTCTCCCAAGAAAAAACAATGCACAGTGACAAAATAAACTTGGAAAATGCTAGGTTGAAAAATTTAAACAACACCAACAAAAAAAGATTTGTTTATATGATGGCTTCTCAGCACGATTAAATATGTTAATGTCTGTTATAGCTCTCCAAGAGGGAATTATAGCAGTAGGCAGAATTTCTCAAATTCAGTTAACCAACAAACATGTTTTTTTTTTTAAAGTATATTAAAGGATTAGGGCTTAATAGAGCATCTGTTGAGAAACGCTGGCTTAATCCATGTTAAGTAGAACAACAAAAATAGGTTACTAAATACGTTGAGTTTGGCATTTTATATTCACTATTCTCACAAGAATCCAGAGACTGGTGCTACAATTATCCCCGTTTTACAATTAGGGAGAAAACAACAACAACTGTGAAGCTGAATATTGTCTAACTCTCTCAGCTAGGAAATGGCAAAACCCAGATTTAAGACCAGGGACAATCAGGCACCAAAGCCTCTGCTCTTTCCACTAAATACACTGTCTCCTATAATTTACAAGATTAGAATATTTAAATTATAAACATAAGCATATAATACAAATCCTGGAATCTGACATACTATAAGTAAAGACAGTGGCATCTATTCACAAACAGCAGATGGAATGAAATCTAGTTTTTATTTTGTTACCCCAATTCATCTGGATAATAATTCCATGGCTATGATTACTCTAATGTCAGAGCTGGGGAAACTATTCATTTCTAGGACCTAAAATACAACCAATTTTATTGCTTATCTCACATTTAATGTGCACAAATATCTTCACACATATGATAAGAATAGGAAAATAATAGTCTGGCATGTCTACTAGTATTGATTTGCCAGATATTATTGAGTACAATATACTATGGACATTAAAAGAGGCTCTATTTCATTTAAATTTGGTTGAAGTACTACAAAGAGTCATGACATCTCCCTGGTGACAAATAATAGAATAGGCTAGAAAATATACTGGACTTACTCCCTACACAAATTCTCATTTACTGTAAGTTCCACATACTTGCTACACAAGAAAGCTGAGCTCCTTTCACCATCTCCTCATTCCAAGACCAAGGAAAGTGGGCCTCTATGACAAGGTATGCAGAAGCAATTCTAATGTCAGAGAGGAAGACCAGGATCTTATTTGCTTTTATTAATTGACAAGCAAAAAGTGTATATATATTTCTCACGTACAACATGTTGTTTTGAAATGTTACTTGGTTTTAAGAGAGCCCTATGAATCTACAAGAAGTTGCTTTGGCAATCAGATCAGCCTGCCAGAAAGAAATACCAGATCGTGTTCGCAGTCATTAGGGCTGGAGAGAGATTTTCCTGTGTTTGAGTTATTACTCATTCCACATTAGTCCACCCATTCAAATCCGTTTATAGACAACCAAGGCAGGTAGATGAACAAATAATACACAAAGGTTGCCCTCAATTTTTGTTTCCCTCTGTGATCTCATCTGTTTTCACTGATTCAATTATCACTTCTCTGTTGATGACTCACTAATTGGTATCTCCAATCTGGGCCCCTCTGGTGAGCTCCAGACTCAAATCTACTTCTAGTTGGTTGAAAACACAGATCATGACTCATGAGCTTATTGGACACCTCCTTTCACTAAAAGTCCCAGATGTACTTTAATCTCTACATGTCCAAAAGACAAATTTATTATCTGTCCCACACCCCCAATTTGGTCATCCATTCAGTTTCCCTATCTCAATAAATGGCAACACCATCCTTACAGCCTCCTATCCTGAGAAAAAAAAAATCTTAAACTCATTCATCATTCCTTCCTCACATATCCATTCTAGTTAATTTCTTAAGCCCCTTCTATCCTTGCTATCCCTACCACTGCTGCATTATTTCAGGCCCTCACTCCCTCTTATCTATCTATTGCATTAGTCTTATCAAAGGTTTCCCTGCCTGTAGTTTCTTCCCCTTCCAATTCAATCTTCACACTACTGCCATTGTGATCAGGTGTTGGCAAACAGTATTATGCCATTCCTGGCTTAAAGATGTTTAATGGCTCACTAATGTTTCTATAGTAGAGTCCAAAATTCTTAGCATTGCTATAAGACCCTTCAAAACTTAGTGCCAACCTAACTCCCCAGTCTTATCTCTGGACATTGCCTTTCTCTGCCATGCATCAGCCACAACTGCACACTCAACATTGTTTGAGTGAGCCAAGGGCCTGCATATCTCTCTGCTTTTATTAGTGCTATTGCCTATGCCCCAAATGCTATTCCACCATAAAACTAATGATGGAACTAGTAAAAAAAGACAGAACTACTCAAATTCAGTATCATCTCTTCTGTGAAGCCTTCAACTCTTCAAAAAGAACCGATCCCTGTGCTTCCACAGCTTTGCACATACTTCCATTAGAGTTTTGTCATGCTGTCTTATAATCAGATTACATGAATGCTTCCTGTGACTAGACTGAGAGCAACTTAAGGGCAAGGACAGTAGCTTAGTCATCTCTGAATCCTTAATGCATAATAATTATAGTTAACTAAGGGAATTATTACGATTAATGCAATGATATTAATCAAGCCTTTGGCACCAGACAAATCTGGATTCAAATTGTAGTTGTGCCTTTTACTAGCAGCATGACCTCAGTCAGTAATTTTACAGAAGTTACTCTAAAACTCATTTTCTTTACCTGTAACATAGAAATGAAAGTATTTGAAGCAATGCCTAGCACATAGTAAGTTATCAACAGCATCATCACCATCCTCCGCTCCTTGCAAAATGTGAACACAGAAGAACGTACCCACAGCCAGCACACTTCTGCAAGCAATTAACACAGTCCAGTGCCAGTCAGGCATTGCTACATTCACTGACAACCCTGGGAAGGAAGAAGACAAACAGAAACAAGAATGGGGACACAGATGAGAGGACAGAAATGACAGATCAAAGGGTTAAGGACTGCTGATTCCCTCTTCCTTTCTCCCTATCCTCTACTTCAGAATATTCATGGTTCCTTAAATTTAACCCTTCCTTTGTCTTGGAAGGGAAAATTAAACTCTATTTTCATTAATAGGAAAAATAGCAAAATTAGAATGTCAGAAAAAAGCTTAAAGCTTTATTGCTGCAGAGCACACTTTCAGCTGTGAAACTGACTGACATTCTTCAACTACCACCCCCACCCAATGGTTGTAGGGATAGTTGCCATTTCAAAGTCAAAGCAAGCCAACAAAACAATAAAACTAAAACCAAACAAAAAAATAAGGAGGAAAAATATAAGAGAAAAAGCTTTCTCTTTATTTTTGAAAGAGGAAGGATAGTAAAGAAATTGCTCAAGGGGAGAAGAGAGTTGTATGTAGAAGCAGTACATTTCAATTATCTTTGCTTGTATTTTTCTAGTCATATAAAAGCTGTCCTAATTCAAATCCACTGAATAAACAAGTCAAAGTAGTATGTAGAGAGAAGCTGATGTTTCACAATTTCTACATTAAGAGCTGTCTCAATCTAGCCTCTGTTTGAGCTCTATGGGAAAAAAATTCTCTCCTCATGTAAAAACTATAATATCATTTGCAAATGAAGCTCCTGAAATTTGCAAATGTCAATACGGATTTCAGTGACCTAAAAATATAATGACATTTGGTTTAAGACCATACAAATACATAAATTACTTTTAAATATTTTTCCCATTCTGCCCTCCAAAGTAAAGGGTGAAAACATTCCTTATTACTTAAAAAAAAAAAAAAAAAAAAAAAAAAAGTTTTTGTGGAACCTGCTACATTTTATTATCAGGCCTTGGCAGCCACACTTCAACTTTTTACAGGTAACTCGCTGGACCCTCACAGTGACTCTTCAAATGAGGTTTTGCACTAGACCCATTTCACAGTTGAGGAAAACAAGACAAGTCACATAACTAATCAGTGAGAGTCATAACTTGAACCAGATCTCCTGACCATCAAACCCAGTATTTGTGTCTTTTCCAACCCTACAGCTTATCTTAGAGAAAAGAGCACAAGCTTTGTTGTCAAATGGACCTAGATTTAAAACCTGGTTCTTTCCCTTAATACGCATGTGACATTGGACAAGTTATTTCAATTCTCTGAGTTTGTTTCCTCATCTGCAAAAGGAGGGAAATCATACTTATTTTAGAGAAATGTAATAATTAAATGTTAAAACACTTGTAAAATACCTAGTAGAGCACCAAGTAACTGTTCAGTAAATGGTAGCTATTATTACATGTTGGCTTCAACAGCTTACATCTTGAATACTAGATTAGTTTGAACAAATGACAATCACTTTCATTCATAAATTAGTTCCACAGACATCATAAAATCTGTCTTCAACATGGGGGAAAAAGGAAAGGAGAAAACTAGGGTAACACTGATTCTTTGATACTTGTTCATTTTTCTCACTCTTACAGGGTTGCACTGTTTTATTTATCTAAAGAGACAATTTCTTCTAAGTGAAGTTACGTTTACTTTATTCTCCTATCCCTTTATGGTAGTCTTGAATCTAAAACCTTTAAAATACTTATCTCTGAGTTACCTTATTCACATATATATGATTATTTTGGTAGAAGAGAAAGAGCCATTTTATTTTACTTTTGCTGTAAAGAAAATATAAACTAACCAACCTTAATTTCCAAACAAGCCACTAAAAAGAAACCTCACATGAATAGCTGTTGAATCAATATTGTTTTCTTAAGAGCAAATAATAATTGAGCATCTATACAAAGTATTTTTGTCCTTTCATTACTGAAGCAGAGCATCACAACTAAATTTCTCACCCAATTCTACATATGTACAGTTAATTTCCAAGGCAGAAAAAATAGCATAAAATTGACTTGACGAATATAGATGCAATTTCTGAAATAAGTCCATGAGGTAGAGCTTTTTCAAGCCACAAAAATCCGGCTCTACTAAAAAATCAACTATTTCTATAAAAGGATTACGGAGGAAAATAATGCTGGCTCCCTGTGAAAGGAAAATAAATCTTGGGACCCCAAACTCACTAAGCCCAAGGGAAAAGTCAAGCTGGGAACTGGGTCATGCAGATCTGCTTCTCATTTGGTTGCTAAATAAGATGGCTATGAAGATAAAAAGCAACATACCTCCCTCACAATTTGCCCACAAGGAAATTCCTTATATATATAGCTTATCTTCACAGGTGCTGGACAAAGGAAAGAGAACTCAAAGTCACCCTTCTGCTCACCTAAGACAAATGAGTATCTGATTGCTTCCTCCACCCTATTGTCTACACTATCTTATGTAAAAATGCAGATTCACTGAGCCAGATGAAGGTATGAGTGGCTATTTCCTCTATCTACCCAGACTCATATGAAAATTGTGTATTCAGTGAAGGCTGATCAAAGATTCAAAAGGATGCAACCCTTTTGTCTTTTTATCTATCAACACAGTTTTTAAAGATTTTTCTTCCCTCAACATCTGCCCTTTCCCTTTCAAATACTGAAGCCCTCAAAAGCATCTTTGGAGAAAGGCACAGACCTGCCTCCCAGGCACATGTCCTTAATGTTGGCAAATAAACCTAATATGATTAAGACTTGCCTCTGTCATTTTCTTTCATTTGTATTTCAAACATTTTCAGAGTGTCATATCCACAGTGAGAAGTCAATAAGGGATTATTGCATTGCGGCCACTCCAATTCACTCCAACCTCCTACCACCAAATCTAAATGATGCCCCTATTATTCTTTAGTAGTACTCCCCTTTTGCCTTTCATAGTACAGTTTATAATATAAAATTTGAGCATGTTTAATGTCTATACCCCCTAGGGTCCAAGGGCAGGGGTCATAGTCTGTTTTATTGTTCACCTCGATACCCAGGAACTAGAAAAGAACATAACCTCAATCAGTTTTACAACTGCTTTCTAATTATATTATAATTTCTATATTTCTTGAGAAGTGACAATTATTGACAAGTTTTAGGGTATCCCACTTGAGTGCCACAACATAGCCAACAATGACATGTAGGAAAACGGATGCCAATACAATGTCAAGTCAATGCTGAAGAAAAAGTGAGCACAAAAAGCCCCTACTCCACTTTCCCCACCACTACTACCTACCCTACCTTACAAAGCCCTGAAGGAGGAAATTCTAACTCTCCCTTAAAAGTGAAGAAGCTGGCTGGGGGCGGTGGCGGTGGCTCACACCTGTAATCCCAGCACTTTGGCCAATGGGTAAATCACTTGAGATCAGGAGTTTGAGACCAGGCTGGCCAACATGGTGAAATCCCGTCTGTACTAAAAATACAAATTTTAGCCAGGCGTGGTGGCACATGCTTGTAATCCTAGCTACTGGGGAGGCTGAGGCAGGAGAATTGCTTGAACCCAAGAGACAGAGGTTGCAGTGAGCTGAGATGGCGTCACTGCACTCCAGCTTGGGCCATAGAGCGAGACTCCGTCTAAAAAAAAAAGTGAAGAAGCTACAAAAAATCCTGATAATCTTCAGTAGCACAATAGAGATTTCAAGCTACACTTTGAAATGACTGTTGGCCATAGCTCTACAGCTCCCAAGAAATCTATTGGGATGAA
The DNA here is from genome assembly GCF_000001405.40 of Homo sapiens. Lineage (NCBI taxonomy): Eukaryota > Metazoa > Chordata > Mammalia > Primates > Hominidae > Homo > Homo sapiens. The sequence goes on from NC_000023.11 coordinate 85,998,077, forward strand.
TTTTCTTTATACATTCCTATATGGTCTCATTTCGTTTTGTAGCTTTTGTCAAATATTTATTTGTAAAAAAAAAATTAATTTTTTATTGTTCTTTCACTATTAGTACTACAGCATACTATTACTAAATAATATTCTCAAATGTGAAAAGAATGAGTAAATACACAGAGGTGATGGTGAGATACTATTATGGCATATTTTCACTACATCAATTCACTTCATTTCATCCTTTCACTCATACTCTCCTTCATCTGTCATGAAACTTTCTCTCTTAAGTCCCCCAGACAGAACATAAAAAACGATAATGAGTCTCTTGGGAGTGGTATGTGGGAAGGATAACACATATTTTTCATTTTTCATGTATACAGATGTGCCTTGACTTATGATATAACATCCTGATGTACCCACAATAAGTTAAAAATATCATAAATCAAAAATGCATTTAATATACTTAGCCTACCTAACACCATAGCTTAGCCTAGCCTACCTTAAACATGTAAGCATACCTTACGTTGGACTACAGTTGGACAAAATCATCAGGCAACACTGTAGAGTATCAGCTACTTACCCTCAAGATCACATGGCTGCCTGGAAGCTGTGACTGGCTGTCACTACCCAGCATCACAGGAGAGTATCCTATCGCATACTGTTTGCCCAAGATCAAATTTTAAAATTTGAGATATGAGTTCTACTGAATGAGTATGGCTTCTGTACCATCATAAAGTTGAAAAACTGTAAGTTAAACCATCAGAAGTTGGGGACAATCTATATTGATGGTCTATTGGGAGTGGTATATGGGAAGGATGACATGTATATCTTACATGTATGTATGCATATATGCTTGTAATATATAGATATATACGTTGCTTGAATTCTTATGACAAGCATATGTATATTTTTATAATTACAGAAAAAAAGGTTTTTTTCAAACCAATAAACAAAAAACAACTACAGAGACAAAGATAATTGGTCATTTTTCTTTATCACAATTCCTAAATAGTCACAACTCCTACCTAGAAAAAAAAAATTCATTTGTCAGGCCAAAGAGAAATCTAGTCCAGGGACTGACAGACATATAACAATGACATCATCAATTCTTAATCTAAGATAATACTATTTAGATGAATATGCTTACTTGGTGAAATTATTAAAACATACCAATGTTTTCACCTTTTAGGAATAATATGGTTATTATATAAGATTTAAAAATCAACAACTGTATTTATGACAATTATTTGGACCCATGACATAAATTCACCAAACACTTGGTATAATGAGATTTAAAGACCCCAAATATTAAGTATTCTCTTTTTAATAATGACTAAGAAAAACTGAATCTAAATGAATTGTTAGCATATATATGAAGGTAGTATATAACAGAACATGAAGACTGATATGAAAAAAATATAAAGCCAAATGACATAAATGATCAGAAAAAAGGATCAGTTGAGGTCATGTAAATGAACAATTATTGGTAGAAGTAGATTTTGTTCAAGTATAAACTTCTGTGCTTACTACACCTCCATTTAACAACTTCGAGTTTAAAGTAAATGCCAATCTCTACATTTAAGAATTGCAAATTGCTCTTTTAAATCACATCTATTCTTTAAATTTCACGTGTCCGCAGCTCATTAATATTTACAGCAATTGTAGGCCTCTGAAAAAAACTAGAGATTTTACATTTACTGAGACAGATAGCTGGCACACAAAAATAGAGCTCCCTCAATTACAATATAGCAGAAGTTAACTTTAGTTTAAAATATGTCTGCAGAAATTTATGGCAACACAACAATGAAGTGACTATTTTGAATAAGATTAGCTGCTCTTGATAATGACAGACACTGTTTATAAATCAACAGAGGTTGTACTTGATATTTATAGCGGGGCACTTCAGAATCATCAACCAATATCACTTGAATAGAATATACATGCAAACAATAGCAAAAGATTACAAGTACTAAGATGATCTTCACAAAGTCATGAATGTAATACACGCACATAAAAAAGTCAAAGTGTATTTTTGTTTGCTGTTAGTCTTACAGTTTTTGTCTCATTTAATATTCAATGTTTCCAAGTAAGAAATATTTAATGAAAATTAGGAAGATAGCCCTACTCAGCAGTTTTATCAGGATGAAATTACATTTCTTGAGTTCAGGTTACTATTCTACTAGCTACCTAACTAAGTAAGTCTTCCTGAAAAAAAAAAAAAAAAAAGTAAATTTCACCTAATTCCTTACTGTAACATTCAGTTTTATTGAGGCACAGAAGTTATACAAGTTCAATAAGTCAAACTGACTTTGTGACAGTTGTTTAAATTAGAGAAAAAGAAAAAGATCAGTAAAGTAGTATAGCCATTATGGAAAACAGTATGGAGGGTCCTCAAAAAACTACAAGTACAACTAGCATATGATCCAGCAATCCCACTACTGGGAATATATTCAAAAAAAAAAAAAAAAAAAAGAGGAAATCAGTATATCAAAGAACTGCAGCACTACTCACAACAGCGAAGATATGGAATCAACTTTAATGTACATTAATGGTTAAATGGATAAAGAAATATTGTATATATACACAATGGAATATTATTCAGCCTGAAAAAGAATTAAGTCCTGTCATTTTCAGCAACATGGGTGGAACTGGAGGTCATTATGTTTAGTGAAATAAGCCAAGCACAAAAAGACAAATATCTCATGTTCTCACTCATATGTCGGAGCTAAAACAGTGGATGTCATGGTGGTAGAGAGTAGAATGATAGTTAACAGAGGCTGGGAAGGAAAGGGGAGCAGAGGGCATGAAGTAAAGTTGGTAAATGGGTATAAAAATACAGGTAGATATAATAAGTTCTGGTATTTGATAGCATAGTAGGGAAATTACAGTTTAAAATAATTATGTATTTCAAAATAGCTAAAAGAGAAGAATTTTAATGTTTCCAACAAAAAGACAAATGTTTAGATGATATATTTCCCAATTAGCTTGACTTGATCATTACACATTGTATACATGTATGAAAATATCACGTATACCCCAAAAATATATACAACTATGGTGTATCAATTGTTTAAAAATACAAATAAATAAGAAAAATATCATAAGTCCATTTTACAAACACAAAAATGTGATAAAGATGTGGGACAATGCCCCTTTTTTAAATATTGGACAGTTATAAATAGAAACGACATGCATATATGAATGTTTACATTTTGTTCATAACAAGAAATCAGGAACAGCTTAATATGCAACAGTAGAGAAATGGCTAAATAAATCATGACATGTTCATCTGCAAAAAAAAAAAAATACTATACTGCCAGTATTAGGGAGTTCTTGCATTGCTATACAGAAATATCTGAGGCTGGGTAATTTATAAAGAAAAGAGGTTTAGTTGGCTCAAGGTTCTGCAGACAGGACAAAAAGTGAGGTGCCAACATCCGCTTCTGGAAAGGGTCTTAGGAAGCTAACAATCACGGCAGAAGGTGAAGGGAAAGCAGGCACCATGCATGATGAGAGTGGAAGCAAAAGAACAAGGGGGAGGTGCCACACACTTTTAAACAACCAGAACTCACGTGAACTGAGTGAGAACTAACTTATCATCAAGGGGATGGTGCTAAATCATTCACGAGGGATGCACTCCCATGATCCAAACATCTCCCACCAGGCCCCACCTACTAAACTAGGGATTACATTTCAACATGAAATTTGGAGGGGACAAATATCCGAGCCACATCACAGCCCATTACAATCAATTGAAAAACAATTTTTTCAAAAAAAAAAGTTGTTGTTAAAGTGTTGTTTAAAAAAACAACAACAACAAGTACATCTTCTGTAAGAAAACTGCATGCAATTAAGCCAGCCCCATGGTGTAATGGTCAACACCCTGGACTCTGAAAATTGCATGCAATTACAAGCAAAGACCACTACCTCTCTACCGAATCTCCCATCTCCCACAGGTGGATATAGACATATGGCAATCAAGCTAGCGATGAGTTTTATAACTCCATAAAACTGTATGTGGATTATGACTAGTTTTTGTCCAGGAACTATGAGCAAAGATGATATATGCCACTCCAGGTCCAGGACTTAAAAGAACAAAAGTCTATCCACTCTCTATCTCCTCTCTGAAAGCTGGAACCTGGGCAAACCTGTGACCCGTTTTAGACTGTGCTAACAAAGAAAACCCTAGGGGGTGGTAAAGAAAATGAGATAAAAGGAACCAGAGTGCTCATGGACTCTTCACATTTGTTTTAACCACAAAATATTTTCAGTTATTGTTTTCAAGCCATTGTGTCTGGGTCTTTTTTTTTTACAGCTTCTTATTCTTTCATTCTAACTAATGTAGTACAACATAGAAAAATGCCATAACTGTTCCAAGATGGCCGAATAGGAACACCTCTGGTCTGCAGCTCCCAGTGTGATCAACGCAGAAGACAGGTGATTTCTGCATTTCCAACTGAGGTACCTGATTCATCTCACTGGGATGGGTTGGACAGCGGGTGCAGCCCACAGAGGGAGAGCTGAACCAGGGCGGGGTGTCGCATCACCTGGGAAGCACAAGGGGTCGGGGTATTTCCCTTTCCTAACCAAGGGAGAACTGCGAGGAGGCAGCCTGGCTGGGGGAGGGGCGTCGCCATTGCTGAAGCATGAGTAGGTAAACAAAGTGGCCAGGAAGCTTGAACTGGGCGGAGCTGACCACAACTCAGCAAGGCCTACTGCCTCTAGACTCCAACTCTGTGGGAAGGGCTTAGCTGAACAAAAGGCAGCAGACAACTTCTGCAGACTTAAACATCCCTGTCTGACAGCTCTGAAGAGAGCAGTCGTTCTCCCAACATGGGGTTTGAGCTCTGAGAACGAACAGACTGCCTCCTTAAGTGGGTCCCTGACCCCCGTGTAGCCTAACTGGGAGACATCTCCCAGTAGGGGCCGACAGACACCTCATATAGGCAGGTGCTCCTCTGGGACAAACCTTACAGAGGAAAGACCAGGCAGCAATATTTGTTGTTCTACAATAATTGCTGTTGTGCAGCCTCCGCTGGTGATACCCAGGCATACAGGGTCTGGAGTGGACCTCCAGCAAACTCCAACAGACCTCCAGCTAAGGGACCTGACTGTTAGAAGGAAAACTGACAAACAGAAAGGAATAGCACCAACATCAACAAAAAGGACATTTACACCAAAACCCCATCTGTAGGTCACCAACATCTAAGACCAAAGGTAGATAAAACCACAAAGATGGGGAGAAAGCAGGGAGAAAAGCTGAAAATTCTAAAAATAACAGTGCCTCTTCTCCTCCAAAGGACTGCAGCTCCTCGCCAGCAATGGAACAAAGCTGGACGGAGAATGATTTTGACGAGTTGACAGAAGTAGGCTTCAGAAGGTCGGTAATAACAAACTTCTCCCAGCTAAAGGAGCATGTTCGAACCCATCGCAAAGAAGCTAAAAACCTTGAAAACAGGTTAGATGAATGGCTAACTAGAATAAACAGTGTAGAGAAGACCTTAAATGACCTGACGGAGCTGCAAACCATGACACGAGAACTTCATGACGCATGCACAAGCTTCAATAACCGATTTGATCAAATGGAAGAAAGGGTATCAGTGACTGAAGATCAAATTAATAAAATAAAGCAAGAAGACAAGGTTAGAGAAAAAAGAGTAAAAAGAAACGAACAAAGCCTCCAAGAAATATGGGGCTATGTGAAAAGACCAAATCTACGTTTGACTGCTGTATCTGAAAGTGATGGGGAGAATGGAAACAAGTTGGAAAACGCTCTTGAGGATATTATCCAGGAGAACTTCCCCAACCTAGAAAGACAGGCCAACATTCAAATTCAGGAAATACAGAGAATGCCACAAAGATAATCCTCAAGAAGAAAAACCCCAAGACATACAATTGTCAGATTCACCAAGGTTGAAATGAAAGAAAAAATGTTAAGGGCAGCCAGAGAGAAAGGTCAAGTTACCCACAAAGGGAAGCCCATCAGACTAACAGCGGATCTCTCGGCACAAACCTTACAAGCCAGAAGAGAGTGGGGGCCAATATTCAACATTCTTAAACGAAAGAATTTTCAAACCAGAATTTCATATCCAGCCAAAGTAACCTTCATAAATGCAGGAGAAATAAAATCCTTTACAGACAAGCAAATGCTGAGAGATTTTGTCACCACCAGGCCTGCCTTACAAGAGCTCCTGAAAGAAGCACTAAACATGGAAAGAAACAACCGGTACCAGCCACTGCAAAAACATGCCAAATTGTAAAGACCATCGATACTATAAAGAAACTGCAACAATTAACGGGCAAAATAACCAGCGAACATCATAATGACAGGATCAAATTCACACATAACAATATTAACCTCAAATGTAAATGGGCTAAATGCCCCAATTAAAAGACACAGACTGGCAAATTGGATAGAGTCAAGACCCATCAGTGTGCTGTATTCAGAAGACCAATCTCACAGGCAAAGACGCACATAGACTCAAAATAAAAGGATGGAGGAAGATCTACCAAGTAAATGGAAAGCATAAAAAAAAGCAGGGTTTGCAATTCTAGTCTCTGATAAAACAGACTTTGAACCAACAAAGATCAAAAGAGACAAAGAAGGCCATTACATAACGGTAAAGGGATCAATTCAACAAGAAGAGCTAACTATCCTAAATATATATGCACCAAACACAGGAGGACCCAGATGTATAAAGCAAGTCCTTAGAGACCTACAAAGAGACTTAGACTCCCACACAATAATAATGGGAGACTTTAACACCCCACTGTCAACATTAGACAGATCAACGAGACAGAAGGTTAACAAGGATATCCAGGAATTGAACTCAGCTCCGCATCAAGGAGACCTAATAGACATCTAAAGAACTCTCCACCCAAAGTCAACAGAATATACATTCTTCTCAGCATCACATCGCACTTATTCCAAAATTGACCACATAATTGGAAGTAAAGCACTCCTCAGCAAATGTAAAAGAACAGAAATCACAACAAACTGTCTCTCAGACCACAGTGCAATCAAACTAGGACTCAGGATTTAAAAACTCACTCAAAACTGCATAACCACATGGAAACTGAACAACTTGCTCCTGAATGACTACTGGGTACATAACAAAATGAAGGCAGAAACAAACATGTTCTTTGAAACCAATGAGAACAAAGACACAACATACCAGAATCTCTGGGACACATTCAAAGCAGTGTGCAGAAGGAAATTTATAGCACTAAATGCCCACAAGAGAAAGCAGGAAAGATCTAAAATTGACACCCTAACATCACAATTTAAATAACTAGAGAAGCAAGAGCAAACATGTTCGAAAGCTAGCAGAAGGCAAGAAATAACTGAGATCAGAGCAGAACTGAAAGAGACAGATCCACAAAAAACCCTTCAAAAAAATCAATGAATCCAGGGGCTGGTTTTTTGAAAAGATCAACAAAATTGATAGAGAGCTAGAAAGACTAATAAAGAAGAAGAAAGAAGAATCAAATAGACGCAATAAAAACTGATAAAGGGGATATCACCACCAATCCCAGAGAAATACAAACTACCTTCAGAGAATACTATAAACACCTCTACGCAAATAAATTAGAAAATCTAGAAGAAATGGATAAATTCCTCGACACATACACTCTCTCAAGACTAAACCGGGAAGAAGTTGAATCTCTGAATAGACCAATAACAGGCTCTGAAATTGAGGCAATAATTAATAGTCTACCAACCAAAAAATGTCCAGGACCAGATGGATTCACAGCCGAATTCTACCAGAGGTACAAAGAGGAGCTGGTAGCAATCCTTCTGAAACTATTCCAATCAATAGAAAAAGATGGAATCCTCCCTAACTCATTTTGTGAGGCCAACATCATCCTGATACCAAAGCCTGGCAGAGACACAACAAGAAAAGAGAATATTAAACCAATATCCCTGATGAACATCGATGAAAAAATCCTCAATAAAATACTGGGAAACCGAATACACCAGCACATCAAAAAGCTTATCCACCACGATCAGGTCGGCTTCATTCCTGGGATGCAAGGCTGGTTCAACATACGCAAATCAATAAATGTAATCCAGCATATAAACAGGACCAACGACAAAAACCACATGATTATCTCAAGAGGTGCAGAAAAGGCCTTTGACAAAATTTAACAGCCCTTCATGCTAAAAACTCTCAATAAACTAGGTATTGATGGAACGATCTCAAAATAATAAGAGCTATTTATGACAAACCCACAGCCAGTGTCATACTGAACGGGCACAAACTGGAAGCATTCCCTTTGAAAACAGGCACAAGACAAAGATGCCCTCTCTCACCATGCCTATTCAACACAGTGCTGGATGTTCTGGTCAGGGCAATCAGGTAAGTGAAAGAAATAAAGGGTATTTAATTAGGAAAAGAAGAAGTCAAATTGTCCCTGTTTGCAGATGATGTGATTGTATATTTAGAAAACCCCATCTTCTCAGCCCAAAATCTCCTTAAGCTGATAAGCAACTTCAGCAAAGTCTCAGGATACAAAATCAATGTGCAAAAATCACAAGCATTCCTATACACCAATAACAGACAGAGAGCCAAATCATGAGTGAACTCCCATTCATAATTGCTACAAAGAGAATAAAATACCTAGGAATACAACTTACAAGGGATGTGAAAGACCTCTTCAAAGAGAACAACAAACCACTGCTCAAGGAAATAAAAGAGGACACAAACAAATGGAAGAACATTCCATTCGCATGGATAGGAATAATCAATATCATAAAAATGGCCATACTGCCCAAGGTAATTTATAGATTCAATGCCATCCCCATCAAGCTACCAATGACTTTCTTCACAGAATTGGAAAAAAGTACTTTAAAGTTCATATGGAACCAAAAAAGAGCCCACTTTGCCAAGTCAATCCTAAGCCAAAAGAACAAACCTGGAGGCATCACGCTACCTGACTTCAAACTATACTACAAGGCTACAGTAACCAAAACAGCATGGCACTGGTACCAAAACAGAGATATAAACCAATGGAACAGAACAGAGCCCTCAGAAATAATGCCACATATCTACAACTATCTGATCTTTGATAAACCTGACAAAAACAAGAAATGGGGAAAGCATTCCCTATTTAATAAATGGTGCTGGGAAAACTGGATAGCCATATGGAGAAAGCTGAAACTGGATCCCTTCCTTACGCCTTATACAAAAATTAATTCAAGATGGATTAAAGACTTACATGTTAGACCTAAAACCATAAAAACCCTAAAAGAAAACCTAGGCAATACCATTCAAGACATAGGCATGGGCAAGGACTTCATGTCTAAAACACCAAAAGCAATGGCAACAAAAGCCAAAATTGACAAATGGGATCTAATTAAACTAAAGAGCTTCTGCACAGCAAAAGAAACTACCATCAGAGTGAACAGGCAACCTACAGAATGGGAGAAAATTTTTGCAATCTACCCATCTGACAAAGGGCTAATATCCAGAATCTACAAAGAACTCAAACAGATTTACAAGAAAAAAACAACCCCATCAAAAAGTGGGCAAAGGATATTAGTAGACACTTCTCAAAAGAAGACATCTATGCAGCCAATAAATACATGAAAAAATGCTCATCATCACTGGTCATCTGAGAAATACAAATCAAAACCACAATGAGGTACCAACTCATACCAGTTAGAATGGCAATCATTAAAAAGTCAGGAAACAACAGAAGCTGGAGAGGATGTGGAGAAACAGGAACGCTTTTACACAGTTGATGGGAGTATAAACTAGTTCAACCATTGTGGAAGTTGGTGTGGCAATTCCTCAGGGATCTAGAACTAGAAATACCATTTGACCCAGCCATCCCATTACTGGGTATATACCCAAAGGATTATAAATCATGCTACTATAAAGACACATGCACACGTATGTTTATTGTGGCACTATTCACAATAGCAAAGACTTGGAACCCACCCAAATGTCCAACAATGACAGACTGGATTAAGAAAATGTGGCACATATACACCATGGAATACTATGCAGCCATAAAAAAGGATGAGTTCATGTCCTTTGTAGGGACATAGATGAAGCTGGAAACCATCATTCTCAGCAAACTATCACAAGGACAGAAAACCAAACATGACATGTTCTCACTCATAGGTGGGAACTGAACAATGAGATCACTTGGACACAGGGCGAGGAATATCACACACCGGGGCCTGTCGGCAGGTGGGGGGCTGGGGGAAGAATAGCATTAGGAGAAATACCTAATGTAAATGATGAGTTGATGGGGGCAGCACACCAACATGGCACATGTATACCCTATGTATCAAACCTGCACGTTGTGTACATGTACCCTAGAACTTAAAGTATAATAAAAAAAACTGCCATGACACATGTTCATGGCACCTATATTTTAAAAAGTGATAGCAGTATGCTTTTTATTGTTGTCTTCATGATCTTGTATACATGTATTATTTTGCAATAAACTTTAAAAGTAGTATTTTAATAAATTTTAAAATATGAATCATTATTTAATTATTCTCTGATCCTTACTTCGCTGTCTTCCCTTAATAAACAGCTATTGTACAGTTAAATATACAATATATGCGTTTATATGGGCTAAAAAAATTTTCTAGTGGAGGGTCAGCAAACATTTTCCATAAAGGATGAGATAGTAAATATTTTAAGCCATATGGTCTCTGTTGGAACTAGTCAACACTGCCATTGTCTAACAAAAGCAGACAGAGGCAATACAAAAATGAATGGACATGTCTGTTTTCCGAAAAACTTTATTCACAAAAGCAACTGTACTGTGGGCCACAGTTTGCCAACCCTTTCAGAACATAGTCCTTATTGTACTATTTTTATAGTTTAGATTGTTTTAAAATATTAAAGAAAATATCAAGTAGCATTCATTCTCCATGAATGGAAAAATCTTTAAAAATTGAAAAGGTGAAAAGCAAATCAAACGAGTTCTGTGAAAACTTTCATATACTAATCCTCATAGAAATGAACAGTAAGCTTTCTTCAACACTACCCTATTACCAAATAGCATTTGTGAAGTGTCTACCCTCATATGGTGCTCTGCCAAGTAACAAAGGTAAGGAAGGTCCTTCATATGACAAGATGATGCCAGGATATGTGCTAACTGCTGTTGTTCTAGATGTGATGGTGAATTGAAAGGGTTAATTTATTTATTGAATCTCCCATATGGTCAATGATATACATCTGGCAAGATGGCCAGGGTTACAAATTCTGACCATGATCATGGAACAATGTAAGTTTCTGGTCCCACCAGTCATATACTATTATATTGAGTCATACATCCAGAAAGTATTTACTGAGTACCTACTATGTGCCAACCATCTCAGAGCAGACAAAGTGTACACTAACACAAGGCTTCCAACATTTCCTTCAAAGCAGCTCTCATGGCTTAAGGGAAAGCTTATGCTAGGGGAAGCCAGGAGAGAGCTTACAGTCGTCCTATATAAACACAAAATGTTTAATTTTCATGGGTCATCCTAACAAAAAAATCTGGTATATTTTGCATCTTATTCCACTGTATATCCATGTTTTAAATAATATTCTTAAATGTATTCTATTTAATTGAAAGTATCAACACAGATTTATGGTTTTTAGTGTTTCAGATCTTGGTTTCTAAATATCACTCTCAAATACATAGAGGCAAGGCTCTTGTAGAAATACCTAATGTAAACCTCTTTCATAGAGGTAAGTGGTTGATTCTATAGCAAGAGCAAGAAAAATATCAGCATAGGAAAACACCACAGTGTATCATGGGGAAGATGATCTGAGACTATTAACAACTAAATGCAAGGTAGTATCCTGGACCAGATCCTGGAACAGAATAACATTTTTTTAAAAATCCATCAATAATAATAATTTTAAAGTCCATCAATGATAGACTGGATAAAGAAAATGTGGCACATATACAACATGGAATACTATGCAGCCATAAAAAGGATGAGTTCATTTCCTTTGCAGGGACATGGATGAAGCTGGAAACCATCATTCTCAGCAAACTATTATAAGGACAGAAAACCAAACACTGCATGTTCTCACTCATAAGTGGGAGTTGAACAATGAGAACACATGGACACAGGGAGGGGAACATCACACACCGGGGCCTGTAGAGGGGTGGGGGGGTAGGGGGGTGGGGGGGGCTGGAGGAGGGATAGTGTTAGGAGAAATACCTAATGTAAATGATGAGTTGATGGGTGCAGCAAACCAACATGGCACATGTATACCTATGTAACAAACCTGCATGTTGCGCACATGTACCCTAGAACTTAAAGGATAATTAAAAAAAAAAAAAAGAAAGAAAAAAATTGGTGAAATTCAAATAAGGTCTGTAGTTAATAGTATTCTACCAATATTAATTCCTGAGTTTTTATAATTATACTATGGATATATAAGATATTAGCATTAGGGAAAGTAAAATTAAATATATTCAAAAACTATCTATACCAATTTCACAACTTTTCTGTAAGTCTAAACTTAGACCAATAAAAACTTTAATGTTTTCAATTTAATAAAACGTATATACCAGGCAGATGCTCCAGTGTTTATCCTGTGGCTTTATATTCCACCACCACCCCACCAAGTGCCAGAATACGACTACAGTTTCTTAGAAGCATGCTTCTAGCCTATTCAAAAGCAGAACTTAATTGAGGAATATCCAAAAATATAAGGTGATGATGTATTTTGTCTATAAATTATAATTAGAGTAATACAAATCATCAACAGCAAAGTTAGTGTGGTATATTTCAAAGAATGCTGGAATAGGAACAAGAAGATCTTAGTTTTGGCACCAGTCCTGCTGTGATCTGTCCATTTGACACTGGGCTCACCTCAACTTTCTCATCAACAGATGACTTCCATCTGAACTACCATAAATTTATAAATCTACAGATGATCAGCAAGGGATCAATGCTTCCTTTATACTAGGCAACTGTACTAGGCAATTGTAAATTACTACCAACAGCACAGTGGCTTGGCACATATACATATTCTTAAACTTTATTCATTTATCAAAGGTTTATTGAGGGATTGTTATATTCCAGGCACTCTTAGGCACTGAGGATATATAGACATATAAGACATGATCCCCCATCTTTAAGAGTCTAATAGGGCCAACAGATCTATAAACAATAATACAGTATGAAAAATGTTATATTACAAAAACATGCATGGTACTTGAAAGCACAAAGAGAAAAATTGATACTACCGGGATTATCAAATAAGCCATCACTAGAAAGCAGTATTTTAGATGGGTCCTGAAGGAGGAGAAAGAATTGTTCACGTACAATGGGGACCAGCATAAAAAAGGCATAAAGGTATGAGAGAATATATATTCAGACAGCAAGGTGCATGGTGTCATGCTGCTGAAGCATGACTGTAGAAGGAGGGGAAATTTTCCTGAGAAGCATATATAACTGTAAACTTGGAGCACAAGTAAATATAGTGCTCTAATTTATACTACTCACATACAACAGGAACCCTCAATTCTAGAAATAAACACAAACATTGCTTTGGCCCAAGGTGGTAGACAATGGCTCCCCAAAGATGCTCAAGTCCTAATACCCAGAAGCTATGAATATATTATCTTATATGGCAAAAAGGATTTTGTTAATGCAATTAAGGATCTTCACACGGGAAGATTATCCTGGATTATCCAGGTAGGCCCTAATGTAATCACAAAGTTCCTTAAAATGGGGAGGCAAAAAATTCAAAGGCAGAAGAAGGAGATGGAATGAGAAGCAGAGTCTGAAGTGATGCACTCTGAAGTTGGAGGAAGGGCCATGAGCCAAAGGATTCAGGTGACCTCTAGAAACTGGAAAAGATAAGGAAACCGATTTTCCCCTGGAACCTCCAAAACTAATGCAGCACCGCCTACACCTTGACTTCGTCCCCGTAAGACTCATTTTGAACTTCTGACCTACAGAACTGTAAAAGAATAAGTCTGTATTGGTTTTAGCCACTACAATTGTGGTAATTTATAACAGCAGTAATAGGAAACTAAGACCACTAGTAATAGCAGTAAGTGATGAGGCAAAAGGAAATGCAAAACCACTCGGCAGAAACATAGGGATCCTCCAGGCAAAGTGCCACTTAAGAGAAATTCAAAATTCAACATTTCAGGGGGAAAAGGAAGGAAAAATACTGACCCTAAAGCTGGAGAGAAAATAACAAATCATATTAAACCCTCCAAAAACATTATATATGAGGAAAGTGAAAATCGCCTGGTGGCAATTGAACAGGCCCTGGAGACAAAAACTCATTATCTGAGGAATTTAAAAGGGAGCAAAGACCACCTGGTGGCCATCAAACAGGCCATTTGGAGGATAAACTCCTTATCTAGGGAATTTAGAAATAATTAAACTTCCCTGGTATATAAAGTTGACATCTGATTCCAGGCCTCTTTCAACTTTTATAAGTAACTAAAATTTCTATACATCTCTGGAATGCCATGTTGAAACTCATTTTACAACCCTAAGCTCCCACTTTAAGGTCCATAAATAGCCCTAAGGAAAAAGCCAAGGCTGAATGCTCAGTCCTCTCATTGAGGCACCCCGCTGGAACCTTTTGCAGAGTTCTTCCTAATAAACTCCTTTTTCAAACCTATACTGTTGTTGGCAAATTCTTTTTACCAACCCAGAAGTTGACCACTTCCCAGTGCCAGGGCTCTGATACCTCACCTGGCAATATAATAGAAATATGTGAAAGAGGCTACTGATAGTGGCAGGAGGCAGACAAAGGCCTAGGCAGACAGTGGCAGGTCTACAGTGAAACCCCACCTCCAAGCTGAAGACAGTTTAAAGCCTGAAAGCCAAGCTAGAAGTCAAATCCACAGATCGGATTGAAAACCTGTGTTCCTGTCTGGCATGCTTTCTCTGACTGATCCCCACCCTTCACCTATTTTACTTATATCTACCCTTTCCTAATTGCTTTTCTACACTGCTATGCCCAACTTTGAGTGGTGCCTTTGCTTTAGCCTTTCTTTGCATACTCAGCAATCAGCACACACTCCCCTATTCTGAGCCCATAAAAAACCCCGGACACAGCCATACTGACAGAGAGAGAGAAACCACCTGGAGTCCCCTTTCCTCTTCCATCGCTCAATAAAATTCTTCTCTGCCCATCCAGACCCTTCTAATTGTCAGTGTATCCTCATTCTTCCTGAACACAGGAAAAGAGCTCGGGGAACCACCAAACTCGAGTACAATCTGCAACACAGGCTGAGTGGGCGGGTCACCTCCAGTGGAAGGCCCAGGACCAGGTGAGGTCCAGGCGTGGGGATGTTGCTGGCTGTGGAGGTCCCTGGTTGGCAAAGTGGCCAAGAAAAATCCTGCGTCACTATAAAACAAGTATGCTTTACATGTTTTAAAACAATGAAATAGGCCAGGGACGGTGGCTCATGCCTGTAATCCCAGCAATTTGGGTGGCCGAGACAGGCGGATCATGAGGTCAGGAGTTTTGAGACCACCCTGGCCAAGATGTTTTGAAACCCCGTCTCTACTAAAAATACAAAAATTAGCTAGGCATGGTGGCATGTGCCTGTAGTCCCAGCTACTCGGGAGGCTGAGGCAGGAGAACTGCCTGAACCCGGGAGGCAGAGGTTGCAGTGAGCCGAGATTGTGCCACTGCACTCCAGCCTGGCAATGGAACAAGACTTCGTCTCAAAAAAAAAAAAGAAAAGAAAAACAATGTAATAAATTGAAACACAAAGAACATGACAGCTTTAAAAAACATAACCAAACAGAACTTCTAGAAGCCATTGAGATAAAAATGATAGCTAAGTTAAAATCAGACACATCTTAAGGAAGAAGGGGAGAACCGGCAAAGAGGTCTGCAAGCAATGTTTATAAAGGGCCAGAGAGTAAATATTTTAGGCTTTGCAGGCCACACAGCCTCTGTTGCAGTTACTGAATTCTGCCTTTGTAGTGTGAAACCTGCCATAGTTAATGTGTAAATATGCGTTCCAATAAGATTTTACTTACAAAACCAAGTGGCCAGTGGGCCATAGTTTGCAAACTCAAAACCAGAAGATAAAGCTGAGGAAATTACTCAGAATACAGCATCGAAAAGAAAAAGACAAGAAATGGGAAAGAGATGTTATGAGGAATAAAAGAATGAGAAGATCCAATATATTTCTAAGAATTTCCAAAAGGAAGAATAAGAGACAGGCAACATTAAAAAAACTATATCGGCACTTTCCTCCCAATAAAAGGCATAAAATATCTGATTTCAAGTGGCAAAACAAGTCCTGAGCAGGATAAATAAAAACAAAGCCCAAATCTAGACAGCTAAGAGCAAGACTGCCTGACTATAAACACAAACAAGAGAATGTTAAAGTTACCAGAAGGAAAAGAGAATTCATCTACAAAAGAATGACAGACTAACAGCAGACTTCTCAAAAGCAATAAAAGAAGCCAGAGGACAAAGTGCTGATGGAAAACACTATGAATTACAGAACTAACTAAACTGTAATTTGAAACTGAAGGTGAAATCAAGACACTGCCAGGACCAGGCGAGGCCCAGGCAGTGGGGGTGTCCCCGGCTGTGGAGGTCTCTGGTTGGCAAAGTGGCCAAGAAAAATCCTGCATCACTATATAACAAGTATGCTTTACATGTTTTAAAACAATGAAATAGGCCAGGCACGGTGGCTCACACCTGTAATTGCAGCACTTTGTGTGGCCAAGGCGGGCGGATCACAAAGACAGAGTGTGAAACAACAGACTCAGGGTGAAAGAACTTCAGGAAGCAGGACATTAGTGCCAGAATGAAGAGCAAGCAAAGAAACTGGTACAAAAAGGCAAATCTAGATAAGCATTGACTTACAAAATCAAACATAATAACAATAAGGATTAAAAAAATAAGGATTATAAAGTCAAAGTGTCACCAAAATGCTACATAACAAAAAACATGAGAGGGGTGGGCCTTGCATTGCTTGAGAAAACACTTTGATTAGCTTAGAAGTTCAGTTTCAATATATACATGAAAAAGTTATTTTTTTTTTTATTCTAAAGGAATAGAAACTTCTTCATGTGTCACTCTGATGTGGTTTGACAGTGTCCCCACTCAAATCTCATCTTGAATTCCCATGTGTTGTGGGAGGGACCCGGTGGGAGGTAACTGAATCATGGGGGCGGGTTTTACCCGTGCTGTCCTTGTGATAGTGAATAATCTCACAAGATCTGATGGTTTTATCAGGGGTTTCCGCTTTTGTATCTTCCTCATTTTCTCTTGCTGCTGCCATGTAAGAAGTGCCTTTCACCTCCCACCATGATTTTGAGGCCTCCCCAGCCATGTGGAACTGTAAGTCCAATTAAACATCTTTTTCATCTCAATCTCGGGTATGACTTTATCAGTAGCGTGAAAACAGACCGATACAGTAAATTGGTACCAGTAGAGTGGGGTGTTGCTGAAAGATACTCGAAAATGTGGAAGTGACTTTGGAACAGGGTAACAGGCAGAGGTTGGAACAGTTTGGAGGGCTCAGAAAAAGACAGGAAAATGTGGGAAAGTTTGGAACTTCTTAGAGATTTGTTGAATGACTTTGATCAAAAGCCTGATAGTGATATGGACAATAAGGTCTGGGCGGAGGTGGCCTCAGATGGAGATGAGGAACTTGTTGGGAACTGGAACAAAAGTGACTCTTGTTATGTTTTAGCAAAGAGACTGGTGGCATTTTGCCCATGCCCTAGAGATCTGTGGAACTTTGAACTTGAGAAACATGATTTAGGGTATCTGGAAGAAGAAATGTCTAAGCGGCAAAGCATTCAAGAGGTGACTTGGGGCCGGGCGGGGTGGCTCACGCCTGTAATCCCAGCACTTTGGGAGGCCAAGGCAGGTGGATCACCTCAGGTCAGGAGTTTGAGGCCAGCCTGGCCAACATGGTGAAACCCCGTCTCTACTGAAAATACAAAAATTGGCCAGGCATGGTGGCGGGCACCTCTAATCCTATCTACTCAGGAGGCTAAGGCACAAGAACCACTTGAACCCGAGAGGCAGAGTTTGCAGTGAGCCGAGATCGCACCACTGCACTCTGGCCTAGGAGACACAGTGAGCCTTTGTCTCAAAAAATAAAAATTAAAAAAAAGGTGACTCACGTGCCGTTAAAGGCATTCAGTTTTATAAGGGAAGCAGGGCATAAAAGTTCAGAAAATTTGCAGCCTGACAATGTGATAGAAAAAAAAAAATTCTGAAGAAAAACTCAAGCCAGCTGCAGGAATTTGCATAAGTAACTAGGAGCCCAATGTTAATCCCCAAGACAATGGGGAAAATGTCTCCAGGGCATGTAGGAAGTCTTCACAGCAGCCCCACCCATCACAGGCCTGCAGGCCTAGGAGAAAATGGTTTCTTGGGCCAAGCCGGGGATCCCCCAGCTGTATGCAGCCTAGGGGCTTGGTGCCCTGAGCCCCAGCAGCTCCAGCCTTGGCTGAAAGGGGCCAATGTAAAGCTCAGGCCGTGGCTTCAGAGGGTGCAAGCCCAAAGCCTTGGCAGCTTCCACATGTTGCTGAGCCTGCAAGTGTACAGAAGTCAAAAATTGGGGTTTAGGAACCTCCACCTATATTTCAGAGGATGTATGGAAATGCCGGGATACCCAGACAGAAGTTTTCTGCAGGGGCGGGGTGCTCATGGAGAACCTCTGCTAGGGCAGTGCAGAGGGGAAATGTGGGGTCAGAGCCCCCACACAGAGTCCCTACTGGGGTACTGCCTAGTGGAGCTGTGAGAAGAGGGCCACTGTCCTCCAGACCCTAGAATGGTAGATCCACGGACAGCTTGCACGTTCACCTGGAAAAGCTGCAGACACTCAACACCAGCTCATAAAAGCAGCCAGGAGGGAGGCTGTACCCTGCAGAGTTACAGGGGCGGAGCTGCCCAAGACCATGGAAACCCAACTCTTGCATCAGGGTGACCTGGATGTCAAAGGACCTGGAGTCAAAGGAGATCATTCTGGAGCTTTAAAATTTGACTGCTCCACTAGATTTCGGACTTGCATGGGCCCTATAGCCATTTTGCTATGGCACATTTCTCCCATTTGGAATGGCTTTATTTACACAATACCTGTACCCCTATTGTATCTAGGAAGTAACTAGCTTGCTTTTGATTTTACAGGCTCATAGGTAGAAGGGACTTGCCTTGTCTCAGATGAGACTTTGCACTGTGGACTTTTGGATTAATGCTGAAATGAGTTAAGACTTTGGGAGACTGTTGGGAAGGCATGACTGCTTTTGAAATGGGAAGACATGAGATTTGGAGGGGCCAAGGGCGGAATGATATGGTTTGGCTCTGTGTCCCCACCCAAATCTCATCTTGAATTGTATTCCCATAATTCCTATATGTTGTGGGAGGGACCCAGTGGGAAATAATTTGAATTATGGGGATGGTTTCCCCCATACTGTTCTCATGGTAGTGAATAAGTCTCACGAGATCTGATGGTTTTAGCAGGCGTTTCCACTTTTGCATCTTCCTCATTTTCTCCTGCTGCCACCATATAAGAAGTGCATTTTGCCTCCCGCCATGATTCTGAGGCTTCCCCTGCCATGCGGAACTGTAAGTCCAATTAAACCTCTTTTTCTTCCCAGTCTCAGGTATGTCTTTATCAGCAGTGTGAAAACAGACTAATACAACAAGGAAACCTAATGTCATTACATTAACATCACACAAAATAGTCTTTAAAGAAAAAAGCTACGAAAAAGCTAGAAAAAAGAAAAAATCTAGGCAAATGGAGTAATTACACAAGGATATCACAATTCTAAACCTGTATGCCCCTATCTATACTCAGAACATATAAAGCAAAAATTGGAATTGCAAGGAAAAATAAGAATTCCACAATCAGGATAGGAGATTTTAATATACTCTTCAATTAATAGATAACATAAATTTCAAACAATAACATTAACAAATTTGATCTAACATATAAAGCTCTAACAATTAGAGAAAACACAACAAGCCACATGAAGCCATATACTTCCAAACCATGAAGCAATTCTAAAAAATGCCAAATAATTGATGTCATGCAGAGCTCATTCTCTGACAATAGTGTAATTAAATTGGAAACCATTTATGAAAAGAAAAACTAAAGTTAAAAATGTATTTGGTTAGAAGGCATAAAGAACTCAAAACCCAACAGTAAAACAAACAATCCAATTAGAAAACAGTCAAAATACATTAAGACATTTTATCATAAAAGATATACAGATGGCAAATAACCACGTGAAAAATGTTCAAGATCATTAGCCAGTAAGAAAATGTGAATTAAAATAAGGAGATATCACTACACACCTATCAGAATTACCAAAAATACAAAAAAAGGTGACAACATCAAATTCTGGCAAAGATGCAGAGGAATTGGATCACTCATACACTGTTAATGGGAAATAGTATAGGAACTCTGCAAAATAGCTTGGCAATTTCTTAAAAAGCTAAATATATATAATTACCATATGACCCAGCAATTGTACTCCTAGAAATTTATCCCAGAGAAATAAAAACTTACATTCACACACACCAAAACAACTATATAAATGTTCCCATAGCAATTTTATCTGTAATAACCAAAAAATAGAATCACTCCAGGTACCCTTCAACAGAGGAATACTTATACAAACTGTGATACATACATAATAGGAAATATCATTCAGCAATAAAAATAAATGAACTACTGATACATGCAACAACCTGGATGGATCTCTGGGGAAACAGGCTGAGTGAAAAAGGCCAATGCCAAAAGTTTACAAACTGTACAGTTCTATACATGAAATGACAAAATAATAGAGATGAAAAACAGACTAGTGGTCACTGGGGTTAGGAACTGAAGGCAGGGGAGTGGCAGAGGAGGGAGGTAGATACAGTTATAAAAAGGCAACATGAGAGATCCTTGATGTTAACTGCTCAGTATCTTATAATTTTTCTATACCAAATCTAACATACACATTATAAATACATATTTTTCTGTAACTTACGTCTCTGGAGAATGTATAAAAGGTAACAGTAGCTGCTTCTGGGAGGTGGGACAGGGGACAGAGTGGGTGGGGTGCAGGCAGGAAGAGGAGGCACACTTGAACTTTTTTACTTTGTGTCATTTGCATGTTCTGTCATGAGTGTTGGAATTTAAAAGTCAATAAAGATGTTGAAATTTAAAAATATATTTCGAAATTTAAAACAATAACCTCTAAATAACCAATAGAGCAAAGAAGAAATCATAACAGCTATTAGAAAATACATAGAACTCATGGGAGAGAACTAATGTGGTCCTTAAGGGAAACCATATAGTCATAAATGATTATATTAAGCAAAAAAGAAGGCTTAAAAATAAAGAGCTAAGAATTTAATTCAAAAAGTTAGAAAAAGCACAAGAGGGATTCCAAGCCAAAGAAAGGAAATAAAGATAAAAGTACATATTAAAGATAACACTGAAGGAGTCAACAAAGCTAAAGCTGGTTATTTGAAAAGTCTAATAAAACAAACAAATATCTGGCAAGAGAGATCAAGGAGAAAGAAACAGAGAAGAGGCATAAATAATATTAACAATGAAAAAATGTCCAGAGGCTGGTCCAAGTGCAGTGGTATTTACAACTAATTGATCATAATCAGTTACAGATTTATTTGTTCCTTCTCCTTTTCAACTCCCACTGCTTCACTTGACTAGCCTAAAAAAATAAAATAAAAAATGAGTGCATAGTTACAGCAATAGCACAGTATAGTAAGCAAGAAAGAGAATATAAATGATGCAGTTAGAAATGGGGAAAAGGCCAAAAATTGGGGTAGTAGTAGAAACAGAAAGATCAATAAGGAGGTTATCAGAGTAGTCCAATGGCAATGACGGTGAGGAAGAGTGGAGACAGAGAAAACAGATTTAAACTGTTTTTGGAAGTAGAGGTGACAGGATATGCTGAAGCATGAAATATGAGTTTGAAGGAAAGACAGATGAGATTAAAGATAATTATTAAAGACAAAAATCAGTACTTCCTACCTCAGCATACAAGGTCCTCAGAATGATTCCAGTTTAATTCTTCTAATTTCAACTCTCATGAACCCAATTCACTTAGCTTACCTTCCAGTCCTACTAAAATTCTCACCATTCACCTAGCATCCCACGCTCTTTCAGTATGTTCCCTCTTTCTGAAATGCTCCAATTCCTCATTAAATCCCAATCATCTTTCAAGACTCAGCTGAAATGTCACCTCTGTGAAGCTTTCCACAAATCTCACAGGCATAATTAGTCACGCCTTTAATCTGGCTTCCTACTATTCTTATCTAATAGTAGCAGTAGTATTAGTACCTGTTGAGCATCTCAAATTAGAAAATCCGAAATCTGAAATGCTTCAAAATCTAAAACCTTTTGAGTGCCAATATGATGCTCAAAAGAAATGCTCCTTGGAGCATTTCAGATTTTCAGATTAGAGACATGCAGCTAGTAAGTATACTGCAAATATTACATATATATATATATACATAGCAAATATTACTATATATATTGCAAACATTACAAAATATACATATTACAAATATATATTACAAATATTACTATATATTGCAAATATTACAAAAATTTATATATGATATACATCTGATATATATCTCCGATATATATGAAATACATATGATATATATCTCCGATATATACATCTGATATATACATCTGATATATATCTCCGATATCCGAAACACTTCTGGTCCCAAGCATTTCAGATAAGGGCTATTCATTCACCTGTAGCGGCAGAAGCAGCATTTAAATATATAAGAGCAGTAGATGCTCTTATATATATCTCTGATATGTGATACATCATATATATCATATTTATATATATTTATCATATATATCTGATATATATGATAGATACATACATCTGATATATATATCTTATATATCAGAGATATATATCATTATCTATCAGAGATATATGTGTGTATATATACATCTGAATCCCAGATGTGTGTATATATATATATTTACACATATATACACACACATATATATACACATATATACACACATATATATACACATATATATACACACATATATATACACATATATATACGTATATATATGTGTATATACGTATATATATATATATATATATATATATATATACACGTATATATATGTGTATATATATATATATATGAAATCCGAAGCACTTCGGGTCCCAAGCATTTCAGATAAGGGCTATTCACCTGTAGTGGCAGAAACAGCATTGTTAAGAGTAGTAGATGCTAACATTACTGAGGGCTTACTATGAAGCACTGTTATAAATCCATTACATAGATTAGTTGATTTAATCCCATCAACAATCTTAGATATTAAATATTATTATGCCCTTTTTTCTTTTGCAAACATTGGTACCAATATTATGTCATTTTTATAAAGAAACTAAGGTACAGAAAGATTAAATAACTTGCCAAAGGTTACACACCTAGTAAGTGGAGAAACCAAGATCTGAACACAGGCACTCTGGCTTAAAAGCTCACATACAACTTCCCAATAAAGCCAAAGAATAGGAAGTTGGTGGGAATGTGAAACAGTATAGCCACTATGCAAAACAGTATGGCACTTCCTAAAAAATTAAGAGTGGAACTACTATATGGTCCAGCAATCCCACTTTAATTTATCCAAAAAAACAGAAATCAGGATCTTGAAAAAACATTTGCACAGCCATGTTCATAGCAGCATTATTCACAATAGCCAAGAAGTGGAAGCAGCTCAAATATCTATCAACAGATGAAGAGATAAACAAAATGTGGCATACACACACAGTGGGATATTATCCAGGCCTAGAAAGGAAGGAAATCCTGCAGTATGCAACAAAATGGATAAGCCTTGAGGACACTGTACTAAGTGAAATAAGCCAGTCACAAAAAAGACAAATATAGTGCTGCATAAGTACACTTATATGAATGAGGCATCCAGAGTAGTCAAAATCATAGACAGAAAGTGGAGTAGTGGTTGCTAGTGGCTGGAAGAGCAGTAGAAAATAGGGAATTATTGTTGAATGGGTACACAGTTTCAGTTCTGCAAGATCAAAAGAGCTCTGGAGATCTGTTGCACAACAATGTGAACATACTGAACACTGCTGAATTCTATGCTTAAAAATGGTTATGATGGTAAACTTTGCATGTTTAAATGACAATTTTTAAAAAATTATTTTTAGAAAAGCAAATAAAGGCATGTCCACAGAACACAGATATATGGTATAATTTTACATGTAAAGCAGACATGACAGATAGAGCTGGGGAAGTAGACTGAACCTGATGAAGAGTCTTAAATGCTAAAATGAATTTTAAATGATAAAATATTTAATCCTGGCCCAGAGCAGGAAAACATTACATAAATGTTCCTTTCCTTCAGACTTTCTCCTCTATGGGTAGAGAGACACTAAGGTTTTCAAGGAGTGAAGTCGCCATATATGAAAATCTACACCCTCCTGCTTTTCTTCTCAACCTCTGATTGTTTCCTTTCAATCTCCTTTGATGGCTTTTCTCCTTTTACCCATGCCTTAAAAGTTGCTCTTGCCCAGGTTTCTATACTTGCCTGTTTTGTGTTTCACTATATGCATTTTCAGGATGATTCTATTCACTTCTTTGGTTTTAACAGCCATTTATTCACAAATAATGCCCAAATCTCTTATCTCCAGCTCTAGATCTTCCACTCAGGCTCCTTATACACATACCCACATACACATACACATCCCTAGGTGAATGGATCTCTTCACCAAGGTATGTCACTGGTACCTCAAACTCAACATCTTCAATTCTGAACACATTATCTTCCCTTCCCCAGTTCTATCCCTAAGTCTGAACATTCTCTTGAATTCCTTGCATAAGTAAATGAAATTGTCACCACCATCCACCAAACGGCTCAAACCAGAATCTTTGGTGTCATCTGTAATTCCTTCCATTCCCTCACCTACTTTATCTGATCCACCACCAAAAATTCTTGCTATAACCTCAAATCCTTCTACCTTTTATTCATTCTGATTGCCAATAGCTTCTTCAGTTCATCATCCATAAACTAGACCATTGCAAACAGCCACCTAGCAAGTCTGCCTACCTTTCTCCAACC
The DNA here is from genome assembly GCF_000001405.40 of Homo sapiens. Taxonomy (NCBI): domain Eukaryota; kingdom Metazoa; phylum Chordata; class Mammalia; order Primates; family Hominidae; genus Homo; species Homo sapiens. Next base: position 86,023,127 of record NC_000023.11, read on the forward strand.
AACCATCTACTGTGTAGTACTAAAACACACATCTGATCATTTAATTCCTCTGCTTAAGAGCATTTAATAGCTCTTTAATATCTATAAGATAAAGTAATTCTTTGACCTGAGCCCTACCTTTGTACCCTCAACTTTCCACCCCAACCTGTACTTAATTGTATATTCTCTGCACCTGTCATACTCAACTACGTGTAGTTTCCCAAACTTGTCACTCTCTTTCATCTCTCAAATCTTTGTACATGTTGCTCCATCTGTCCAAAATGTTACTCCCAGCTCCAACCCCTACTAGTACATCTCATCCGATGAAATCCTACCTGTCCTTAGAACCTTAGATAAGGTACCTACTCCTATGGGAAGCCCTCTCACTGAGTTAGTTGTCCCCCTATAGCACCTTATATATACCTCCATCAAATAGCATAGCATGTGTGTCTATTTCTTTACTTCCCTTACTAGATTGTGAGTCAGTGTATTTTTATTTATCTTTGCATTCTTAACATCTAGCACAATTCCTTGCACAAAGATTCTCAATAAAAATGAATGGTGATAGTTTAAAAACTTGATGACACTAAAAGTCAAGGTTACTGACTGCATACTTTAATTTTTAGCCACAGATTACATCTCTAACAACGGCTATTTATCCAAAATGTGTGTGACATAAAGATTATACAACACCAAACTAACCATTAACAAAAAAAAAAATCATACACACAAATATGTATTAGTACTTATCCACCCATCAAATATCTAATGTATACCAGCAACTGTGCTAGGTGCTGGAGATACAAAGATGAATAAGACCTATGATGTAAGGGCTTAAAGGGTAGTGGGGAAGACAGGGAAGTGAATGATTAAGAGTATGATAAATGCCATGGCACTCTTATACAGTATTACAAAAACCTGGGCATAGTTGTGACACATAGCCAGTGGGGTTTAAGGAAGTGGGACTTCCCTGAGGAGGTGGTATGTAAGCTAAACATTGAAAGACAAATAGAAGTTAGCCAGGCTGAGGGGTAGAGACAGGCAATCCAGGCTGAGGGGATACCTTATGTAAATCCCAGACAAAAAGTGGGAAGATGAAGTAAAGACTACAATATGTTCAGCTACTGCAAATTTCAGCATTGCTGGTGTCTACACCTAAAGATTGAAGTGGCAAGAGATGAGGCTGAAGGTGTTTTAAGCAAGGCCACATCATAGATGGCACTGTATGACATACAGAAAATTTGGACTTTCTCCTAAAATCCAGTTATATCTACACTGACCCAGACCCACTCATTTCAACCACAGCAGCTCTGCTTTCATCTTTTCAAGTTGTTTCGGTTCCCTCACTAAGTCTTTCTTTTAAACTTGGAAAATCACTAACATAGGCAGCAGAGAAACACTGAAGGATTTCATGCAGCAGAGTGATGTGACTGGTGGCAGTGTGATAAATAAACTAGAGAGCTGGAGATAAAGTCAGGAGGTTATGAGCTCATTCAGTTGAGAAATGACAAAGGTTTGAACTAGGGAAATGACAGTGGCATAAAGAAAAAGAGATATGGAGAGCTATTAAAGTTAGGGGATATAAGTGAAATTATGTTTTCAAAGTATGTATCATAGTACCTAGAAGAGATCAATAAATGTGTTCTATTATTATCAAAATCATCTGAATAAATCTGGAGGATAAAGCAAGAAAATCAACAGAAGTATACAAGTTTCGTTAAGTTGAGAAACTGGGTAGACGGTGTTATCATTCCAAAAGACTGGGAGCAGGATGCTGTTTTTTGGGTTCTGTACATTTTGAGGTGAGAATGGGGAGGATGAATTCATGGCTTAATATTAGCCATGTTAAGGTGCCTGTGGAACATCTAGATGAAGATATCAGATGATAGGCTATATGAAACTGGGGCTCAGAACAGATTCAGATCAGGAGATATCATCAGTATGCAGACAACCACTACCCTCAGATAATGGTGCCAAAGAAGCCCCAAATCTAAGCTTAAGATGTGGGAGAATCAATACCTAGATGTATCTAAACTTTCAAAAGCCACCAAGTCTGAGGATGTACAAGAGAAGAAGAAAAGTTTCGTCACTTTGAAATGCCATTTTTATTATACTATAATGTCTTAAGACAACCATATTATCAAGCTTTTCTAATTGATTCACTGCTTGTCAAAGTAAGACCTAGGTTCTTATATTTTTAATCAAACTTTATTTTTGGAATATGAGTAAACCCAATTTGATTTGTAAAATAGTCTTCATTCTGGGAAGACCTCATGTTCTGGAATAAGAAAACACAAAATAGGCCAGGTACGGTAGTTCATGCCTGTAATCCCAGCATTTTGGGAGGATCGTTTGAGGCCAAGAGTTCAAGACCAGCCTGGGTAGCATAGCGAGATTCCATCTCTAAAGAAAATGTTCAAAGTTAGCTGGGTGCAACGGCATGCACCTGTAGTCCTAGTTACCCAGGAGGCTGAGGCAGGAGGATAACTTGAGCCCAGGAGTTTGAGGTTACAGTGAGCTATTACCATGCCACTGTACTATAGTCTAGGCAACAGAGTGAGATCCTGTGTCAAAAAAAAAAAAAGAAAGAAAGAAAGAAAAAGAAAAAGGAAAAGAAAAAGAAAAAAAAAACACATACCTACACACAAAGTAAATCTGAAACTAAAATTATACATGTTAGGAAGGTAAATTTCGAAAAATTACTTAATGTCTCTATGTCCCACATTCCCCATTTGTCAAATTGGGATAACACCACCTACCTTACTTGGCTGTGATGAGAATTAAGTTACATAACATGTGTAAAGAAACTAATATGTTGACTAGCACGTAGTGCAAGCTCAACAAACAATAACTTTTACTATCATTCTACCTTTGAGAAATGAGAAGCAAGAATTTTACTTTTAATTTTAGGTTAAATAAGGTCATGAAAAACATATCTGAATTAATATTTTAAAGTATACTGTCTCAGTACCTGGGCTTTCAAGGTAGCAGATTTTCTTTTTTTTTTTTTTTTTTTTTTTTTTTTTTTTTTTTTGAGACTGTCTTTCTCTGTCACCCAGGTTGTAGTGCAGTAGTGCAATCTCGGCTTACTGCAACCTCCACCACCGGACCAAGTTCAAGCAATTCTCCTGCCTCAGCCTCCCAAGAAGCTGGGATTACAAGCATGCACCACCACGCCCAGCTAAGTTTTGTATTTTTAGTAGAGATGGAGTTTCATCATGTTGGCCAGGCTGGTCTCAAACTTCTGACTTCCTGACCTCAAGTGATCCGCCCACCTCAGCCTCCCAAAGTGCTGGGTTACAGGCATGAGCCACCACACCTGGCCCAAGGCAGCAGATTTTCTAACATGTAAACCCATGATATGTCAAAAAGACTGAATTGAGAGATTAACACAAGCAGTCGTGCATACAATAGTGAAATAGTAAAAGCAAATTACAAAGGCAGGACGTGTATGAAAACTGAATCCAATTTAGAAATTTCATCCAGTTGCTCCCAAATCTTAGCTATTATAACAGAATATGCTTTCAAAATGAATTTAGAACAGGTTAAAAGAAGATTAACTCATGTTACTTTTTGGATTCCTACATATTTACAATGAGATAACATATGGGAAGACACTATAAGCTATGACAAATCTAATTTTTTTTATATTGTAGCATTCTGAAAAACACTGTAGTTAATATCTAACAGAAAATAAAAAGTGTGTTTCTTCTTTCTATTCCTATTCAATGAAGAATTAAAGTGCCAAGATCTAACAGTCAAAAGCACTTAATAGGTGGGAGATTAGGGGTTTGTTTTGGGCGGATATAGAAATGGAGAGATTTAACCTATGCTTTATCTTAAACTTGAGTTTTCCATCAACCTCCTGCTTATCATCACATTTAAGAAAAAAAGGGAAAAACATAATTGTAGATATTTTTCCTAGTTAAGACTTCCTAAGTTTAAATTTTGATGAAGTTTAAGAAAATAATGCTCAAAATCTATTGGCTGACTTTTACAACCATCAAATATGAAGCCTAAAATACAATAGCATATATAGGTTGTATATACCCACACACATATGTAGGAAAAGGGGCAGGCATGAGGTTTCCAAGCCTCTTGGAGAATTACTTGTTATTTTAAACAAAATCACTCATGAGAAAAATAAAATGATGCATTTGGTTTATTCTCAAAGATCACTATTTCACAAAATAGTAAAACTTGTATGCTATATATTTCACATATTAGTGGTTAAAATTAAACAACTCCGATCTTTCTTCTAACTTAAGTTTATGTATGATATACACATACATGTACATACGTACAGACATATATGTGTTTATGTAAATTTTAATCCTGTATAGAGATATTTAGGAAATATTAAATGCTATCGTTGATAAACTTACGAATCAACATGCAGAACTCTCCGGCCACTTCTTGAACATGCAGCTGCAATGATGGATTCAGGCAAACCTACAAAAACACACACCCGTATCATTTAGAATGTAGAAATATATATATTTTACATAAAATGTTCAATACATGCCATTGCTGTATAGAACAGTTTAACCACCAAAGAGACCCATCCTTGCTTGTATTCAGAATTATAAAGTTTATATTAATTATACTGTAAGATGTTTCTTAAACATATACCACTCATACTGAAAATTTTATTATGTGGAAGACATTTTTTTTTTTTGAGACGGAGTCTCACTCTGTCACCAGCTGGAGTACAGTGGCGCGATCTCGGCTCACTGCAACCTCCGACTCCCTGGTTCAAATGATTCTCCTGCCTCAGCCTCCCGAGTAGCTGGGATTACAGGCATGCGCCGCACACCCAGCTAATTTTTGTATTTTTAGTAGAGACAGGGTTTCACCATGTTGGCCAGGATGGTCTCAATGTCCTGACCTTGTGATCCGCCCACCTCGGCCTCCCAAAGTGCTGAGATTATAGGCGTGAGCCACTGTGCCCGGCCAGATATATTTTTTAAAAAGCAGTTCTGCTTAATTTGGCAAGAAAAAATAATTTTTAAAAGTACTTACAATCTTTTTGTATGTAAATTACCATCAATGAGCAACTGTAACTACTATATATTGTTCAGTTAAAAACCATGTTCACACACTAGCTCATCTGAGTCTCCCAATTGCACTGAGAGATAACCATATGCATATGCATTTTAGAGAAGAAGAAAAAGAACCAGGACATGAATATCTTAACTTTCTGCCCAATGCTTAGAACAAACAAAAAAAAGTTCTAGAGTTGAAATTTAAACCCAGATATAACTCCGAAGCCACAATGCCTCTGAGGGGGAATGGCACACACTTTTTAGCTTAAGAAATATGTCAGCTAGTTTAGAAAGGGGCTGCTTACAAGATACATTATTTTGCTTTTGACCAATATAGCAGTATAAAAACAAAACATTTATGCTTTAGAATCAAACTTAATCATACCATAAAGCTGATTATCATAAAAAGACATATATATATTATTTCTACCAGCACCAACCAAAAATTAAAAATTGCCAAAGATAATGATGTTTTATGATTTTAAAAATTCAAGTTTTCTATTTGATAGTTAATACCCTGTAAGTTCCAGACTCTTCAAAAATTTTTGTCATATGATCTACCATGTTGATAGAAGCTAGTATTTTTTATATTAGTTATAAAAATAAAGCATGCTTTAAAAGTTTAGTGCAATTCTATAGTGCTACTACGAACTCCTTCACCATGATGAAACATCCTGATCCTCTCGTGTTTTTACTTAGTGGAAAAAAAAACAGCACCAGTCTTTTGGCAAGGGTTTAAACTACACACTAAGCATCAAGGATTTCAGGAAAGGGGAAAGTCATCTTCTGTATATAAAAAGCAATATGCATATGGAAACAATTGATACAGTCAATCTCTAGCTAAAATCCATATTAAACACAAGCTCCAGCCTGCCTTCACAGAGGAACTAGTTTTCCAGTGTTGAACATTTTGTGGGAATATAATGCTTGGTTCAAAACAAAAGAAGTTCTAACAAATGTACTGAAAATAACCATTAAATATCAATCATCGAAAACAAGCCATCATAAAGTTCCAAGCTTAACTTTAGATATAATTCAAGTAAACAAAATAAGAATTTCTGGAGTAGAGGGAAATAGGAGAAAGTTTTAAATAGCTAAATGCAGTTTTTAAGTTAAAACCCTTATTGAAATCAAAAGACCATCTGAACTTTTTGCTACACTTAAAGAAATAATGTTCCTTTTTAGTGAAATGCAGTCATTATGGTACTTTAAAAGCTGATAAGCAGCTTAGTTAAAAGGATAATGGCAAAGAAATACTCAGGAAGCAGAATTAGTAGTTAAAGATTAATGCTCTTATGTGTAATAATCACAGCATTAATAACAATGCCACCAAATATTAGTATAGGGTTTTATCCTCCAAACTGTATTTTCACATACATCATCTTATTTATTCCTCATTATAATCCTAGGAGGCAGGCAGTATTATCTATGTGAGGAAATAGGTTAAGAAAGGTTAAATAACTTGCCAAATACCAAGTAATTTGGTAATTCCATATCCCCAATTCAAATTACCATGATAATTCACTATCTCCAACTTGGATGCAAGTTTGAAAATGAAGATTCAAGGACAATACAGCAACAAAATGAAACAGGCATGGTCTCAATCAGACAGACTTAGACTTGAATCTTGGTTTTGCTACTCACCTAGCTGCACAACCTCAGATAAGTCACTTGACTTCTCTGAGCCTTTGTTTCCTCATCTATCAATGAGAATATCATGATCTACCTCACAGAATTCAGTTCTGTTGTTAGCAAGGGTACTTGCCCTATGAACACTATCTACTCTTATTATCCTTCAGAATGATATTTTAGAAGCATTATTTCCATCTAACACTACCCCAAACATAAACCTATTTTCACCAGATGCCAGCTCCAATGGTGAACAATAATAAAATTACTCGCCTCCATTTGGCCCAAAAATAACTCTTACTTAGGGTAGGCAGTTATACACGTGGTTATTTCCATGGCTGTGATCAACAATGTCAGAAGTCAAATCTCTGCTATTAAAGCAAAGCCAAGAATGGATTTCAATACTGAACATGATTTGAGTCCAAATTACATAAAGCCAAAATGACTATCATTTGTGTTTTTCCTTAATACTTCCATCCAAACATTCCCATAAGTTTGTGAAATTCATAAGCTGTTCTAATGTTAAATGGCAAGGGCCTATTATCTTCATGCTTAGAATGACTAAAATAGCAAACTAATAATACAGTTAACAATGTCTTCTTGGCCAAGATTTCATATTTCTTCCCACCCATTCAATAAACAGAATTTCCAGGATACAGGAGGCATGTAGTAGGTTCTCCATAGATATTTGCTGAAGAAAAGAAAAAGAAAATGGGGAAAGGGGAGAGGAAGGGAGAGAGAGAACAAACTGTGCTAGGTAGTGAGAGGTTGCCATACGTTTTTTGCAAGATAATCCCTAGCCTGTTAGAGCTCAGAGTCTATGTAACAAGAATTTAAAGAGATTAAAATAATAAGTGTATTTAAAACTGTGATAGAAACACAATGGAAAGAAACACTCCCTCTGTAGAGGGAGTCATGGAAAGCTCCAAAGAACAGGAGAAATTAGCTGGGTCTTTCAGGGTCTCTAACAACCCTAACTGAGGAGTGCAGAAGACGGAAAAAGGAAAGTGGAAAGGAGCATTCCTGGCAAAGTTAAAGGAAGGGAGAACCAAAAAGTGATCCTTTAAAAAAAGTGTTTGGACTGGCCTACTTCACTTAGCATAAAGTTTTCAAGGGTTATCCATGTTGCAGCATGGATCAGTACTTCATTACTTTTTTTTTTAATAACCACGTAATATTCCCTTATATGGATATATCACATTTCTCTATCCATTCTTCTGTTGATGGACATTTAGGTTGTTTTCACATGTTACCCATTGTGAACACTGCTGCAACAAACATAAAGCCAGTGACAGAAGGACAAATGCCACATGATTCCACCTATATGAGGTATTTAAAAATAGGCAAATTCACAGAATCAAAAAGTGGAATGGTGGTTGCCATGGGTTTGGGGGAGAGGGAAATGGGGAGTTGCTAATCAACTAGCATGAAGTATCAGTTATGAAAGAAGAATAATTTCTAAAGAGCTGCTCTACATCATTGTACCTATAGTAAACAACACTGTATTGCACACTTAAAAATTTGTTAAGAGCAGGGATCTCATGTCAAGTCTTCTTACCAACATAAAACAAAATTTAAAAAAATTTCCAAGAGGTTGAAGCCAAATTATAGTATCTGAACTTGAGCCTCTGAGGAATAGGGAGTCTTGAAAGGACTTTAGCCAGATCATGGTCAAATCAGGGTTTCAAAAAATAAAAATAAAAACTGTAGTCAAAGCAAGGAGGATAAACTTGTATAAAACTGGAGCTTTATGCTTCATGGTTTTTAAAAATTATTTAGCGCTGGGCACGGTGGCTCACACCTGTAATCCCAGCACTTTGGGAGGCCGAGGTGGGCAGATCACCTGAGGTCGGGAGTTCGAGACCAGCCTGACCAACATGTAGAAACCCCATCTCTACTAAAAATGCAAAATTAGCCAGGCGCGGTGGCGCATGCCCATAATCCCAGCTACTCGGGAGGCTGAGGCAGGAGAATCGCTTGAACCCGGAAGGCAAAGGTTGCGGTGAGCCAAGATCGCACCATTGCACTCCAGCCTGGGCAACAAGAGAAAAACTCCGTCTCAAAAAAAAAAAATTTATTTAGGAAAAGTTAACATACTTAAAACTTTTTGGTCTTATTGCTAATTTGGTAAAATAATAAAATGACTGCTTGTTTTGTTTAAATTAATATTTCTAAGTGCATACTTAAAAGTTTTTGGTCTTATTGCTAATTTAGTAAAATAATGACTGTTTTGTTTAAATTAATATTTCTAAGCTCAATTTTAATGGCACTTAAACTCTTGATTAATTTCAAAATAACACCTGTTCAAATTCAATGCTTAAAAAAGTGAACTACTACTCAAGTTCACACAATATATTTGTGAGGCATTTAGATGAAACATGTACGTGCTTATTTTGAACTATACAGTCTCTCCCACAAAGAAAAGCCCGACATGAGTTAGAAACAGATAACCTAGATGAGGGTCAAATCCTACAGCATTCCACTGGAAACACTCTGTAAAATGTGTGAGCACAAATATACAAGTACAACGTTTTCAACTGTAAGATGAGGTTAATAATACATCTCATATGGGTGCAGGGAGAACAGGTACAAAACGGTATCAAACACTATACACAGTGGCTGTTGGCATGTCACTGGCATTCAGTAAATGTTGCTTCTCTTCCCTCCTCTTCCTTTCCCCTTCAATAAGATTAGTTATTTGAAGGAAAAAAAAAAGGCATCACTTGCTTACTATTTACTTAAGTTACCCTCAAAGATCTAGCAACTTAAAATCATTTTTTAAAAAGTCCAATAACCTTTTCTTTATGTAAACTATAGAGGTTCATCAAACATTTAATATCATTTAAACATTTCACATTATTGAATATAATTATTACATTCATTAGAGAGGTTGTACCAAACAACTTGCTCTGCCACAGTATTATAAGCAAGCATGTGTAATTCTGATGCAAGACAACAACTTTGGCAAGTCATTTTTATTAAACACAGGTAAATATTAGGTATTAAGTTACCATTTCATAACAGTTGTAGTGGGGGAAACTGAGGTTTCCTCCATCATGACTTTCACAGTTGAGGTTCTGTTACAAAGGTGGCAGCTAGAAAAAAAATTAGAAGCTTATGGAATGTTATATCATCATACACTAATATGTATGGTACCAGCTTTCTGCAATTTTCTAAAAACCTGTCTAGATGAAATAGAGATGTTTCATTATCAAATGAAGGAGCTAGGCTAAAATCAGGACCCAAGAACCTCACCTAAGATATTTTACAGAGATAAAACCATTATCTATTCATTTTTCAAAATCCCCCTTTAATCCAAATTCTTAATGTCAAATCTCATCATTTACAACTATAACATTTAGGTTAGTTCCCCATGATATATTCTTAAAATGTATTAGTATCTGGGATTGATTTTTCCTAACACTATGCTTACACGAGATAAACATAAAATAAAGTACTTACACCACTCCCAGCATATCGAACAATAAATAATAGATTCCCCTGACAGGACTTTGATGACCTGGCAAAGCCCAAGTACTTTCAGCTCAAATCATATGAAACCATAAATCACTCTTTATTTTATAGAACATTTCAAAATGGATTTCTGCTTTCTACCTTGAAAGTCATTCCATGTGTTATTTATAACCAGTGAAGACCAGAATGGAAAGAAAATTACATAGAACTAGAAAATTTACTGTGACTGCTTTAATAAAGAGTAAGTTCTTTTTTAGGAAAAACAGAATTGCTGGCAAGGAAAACTTGATTGAGCAATGAATGCAAAGGTGAAACTACATACTTAATTCATGCAGCCACTCAAAATAATGACATCACAAAATTAAGCAGAAACTGAATTTCAACCCAGGTTTAAGTAGTTTTGTTGATTCCTATCTTAAATTCTATAATAAATATTTACATCTTAAGTCTACTTTTTAGTGGCTACCATAAAAAGGGAAAAATTGCAAATGAAGTAGCCTAGGGAACTACCACAACATAAAGATAAAAATATCATTTTTAAATTGACAATTATTTTTATTCACTCTAACCTCCCCACAAAATACTAAATATTAGTAAATGTAATTTAAAATCTCTGAACTTCTTCCTCGTGGAACAAAATGTGTATTTATAGCCATGTAATTTTTAGAATTTTTTGAAAAATATACTACCCATTAAAACATTAACTTGGAAAATTTATTTTAATTTTTAAAAATTCACTATGGTGTGAGCCTTTAGGGATGGCTAATAAAAAGAGTTTCAGTATTCAAGAGTACTGAATTAAGAATCAGAAGGACTGGCTTCCTGTTTTTAGGTGGATACTAAATAGCTGTGACCTCACGAAAGTCACTTAACCTCTGGAATTCAGATTCCTTATAGATATCCTTATTAGATAAAATAAAGGGCTTGGAATAAGTGACCCAAAGGTTTGTTTCAAGTTCTGAAAAGTGAATGTTTATGCTAGGTCAACAACTTGACCTCTATTCTTGAGCAAATGATAAAGTGAAAGATAAAAAGAGGCTTCTGTAAAGATGGCAGCAGTTGTTGAATCTCCCCCATAACTCCCATAAAAACAGACAGTACAATCAGGATACCCAAACCAAACTCCCAGGGACAACATCCATAACAAAGCAAGGTGATACAATATCATCATGAACCCCAAAATAGAAATGGGTAGTTACAAGCCACCAATAGCTGTAACACCCACATGGTATTAGAAAGTGTGCAGGCTGGGTGTGGTGGCTCACACCTGTAATCCCAGCACTTTGGGAGGCTGAGGTGGGCAGATCACCTGAGGTCAGAAGTTCGAGACTAGCCTGGCCAACATAGTGAAACCCTGTCTCTACTAAAAATACAAAAATAGCCAGGCATGGTGGCAGGCGCCTGTAATCCCAGGTACTCGGGAGGCTGAGGCAGGAGGATCGCTTGAACCTGGCAGGCAGAGGTTGTAGTGAGCCGAGATCACGCCATTGCACTCCAGCCTGGGCGACAAAAGCAAGACTTTGTCTCAAAACAAAACAAAACAAAAAAAAAGAAAGTGTGCAAAAGGAAATGAAGAGAAGATCAAAAAAACTGTTACAGCCCTGAGAGCCAGAAAACCCCAAAAGTGCTATCAGGCACTCACTGGAAGCTTGGCAGACCATTCTGAGAACAGCAGCAGAAACTGGGAAGGGGTTTTGCAGACTTCACCTTGTGAATGAGGGGATAGTCCCACACTGAGGAGTAACTGCTGGGAACCTAATCCAAATTCAGCAGGGAAAATAGAGGCAAAGGAAAGAGAAGGTCTAGACAAAACTAGGGGAGGGTAACAGAGCCAGCAGATTTCAGGCTACATGTTTGATTACCTCCTGAAAACAAAGAAGAGAGGTCTACAGCAAAACAGTTCGAATAGTTTTACTGGCCCCTCCTTCCTATTGAAAACAAAAGGAAAACATTTTTCACTTAAAAATGAGCAACGCAAAAGGATTTCAGTTGAATCACATTCAATGTACATTGGAAAAAAGGGAATAAGGAACAAAATAATATCCCAATAGACAATAAAAGAATGTCAACCTCACAAATTAGATGAAAAACGTAGCTAATTATGGTATTATGTGCTAAAAGAAATTAACAAAATGGTGGCAGCTCTGAGAGAACAACATGAATCAAAATTAGAAAAACTCAAAAGTAAGGTGATTAGAGAACAGGAACATTTTGAAAAAATGGAGTTAAAAAATTAAAGAAAAAATCATTTCAGATAAGAAAACTAAACTAGGAAGAGCACAAGACCAAAGAAACAAAATGGATAGATGCCTTAGAAAAAACTGAAGATACAAAGGAGGGCACGTGATGTAAGTGTTAAGCACATGTTAAACAAAACAGTAGTTATGTTTAAAAAGGAGAGCCCTACACTTTTTGATATATGTTGGAATATATACAGATAGAATGATACGATATTTAGGATTTGCTTCAAAATAACAGGGTTGGATGGTGAAATGAGAGAAACAGTGGAAGATACTGTCGACGAAAAGAGTTCATTTTTTTTTTTTTTTTTTTTTTTTGAGATGGAGCCTCGCTCTGTTGCCCAGGCTGGAGTGCAGTAGCGCGATCTCGGCTCACTGCAACCTCCGCCTCCCGGGTTCACGCCATTCTTCTGCCTCAGCCTCCCAAGAAGCTGGGACTACAGGTATCCGCCACCATGCCCGGCTAATTTTTTGTATTTTTAGTAAAGACGGGGTTTCACCGTGTTAACCAGGATGGCCTGGATCTCCTAACCTCATGATCCGCCCGCCTCGGCCTCCCAAAGTGCTGAGATTACAGGCGTGAGACACCATGCCCAGCCAACTCTGTAAAATATTTGAAGAGATTTATTCTGAGCCAAATATAAGTGACCACAGCCCGTGACACAGCCCTCAGGAGGTCCTGAGAACATGTGCCCAAGGTGGTTGGGGTACAGCTTGGTTTTATATATTTTAGGGAGGCATGAGACATCAATCAAATACATTTAAGAAATACATTGGTTTGGTTCAGAAAGGCGAGACAACTCAAAGCTGGTGGGGGGGGAAGTGCTTCCAGGCTATAGGTAAATTTAAACATTTTCTGGCTGACAATTTGTTGAGTTTATCTCAAGACCTGAGATTAATGGAAAGGAAAGTTCAGGTTAAAATAAAGGATTGTGGGGACCAAATTTTATTGTGCAGAGGAATCTTTCAGGTAGCAGACCTCAGAGACAGAGCAGGTTGTAAAATGTTTCCTATTGGACCTAAAAGGGTGCCTGGCTCTTAGTTGATTACCTCCTGGATCTGGAAAGAAAGGAAGCAAAATAAAGGGGGGAGGGTATTCTCTATAGAATGTGGATTTTTCCCACAAGAGACTTTGCAGGGCAATTTCAAGGTATGGCAAGGAAATATATTTTGGGGCTAAATATCTTTTCCTTGTCTCATAATGTTAATGCCAGAGTCAGACTGAAAAATAAGTCACAATATATAGGGTCAAATAAAACCCATCTGATGAGAATTTATGGTTTGTAGGGCATGACTCCCTAGACCCCTTAGGTAGGAATTTGGGCAAGATAAAAAATCAGAGCTTAGTCCTCATTACAGAGAAAACAAGACTGGCCATGAGTTGATAACTGTTGAAACTGGGAGTCTGGTATGTGGAGGGTTACTTTATTCTACTTTTTTATGTTTGAAATTTTCCATTGTAAAAAGCTTAAAAATGGACGTAGCATCCTGTTTTTTATCTAAATGGAGAAAACTACATCAACTCAAAATCTCTTGAAGTTTTGTTAAATAAATATAAATGTTTGCTGAAGACCTTATCCTTGCCAGGAAATAATCTCCACTACAACTAATTTTTCCTTTTTTTTTTTTTTTTTTTTTTTGAGACAGAGTTTCACTCTTGTCACCCAGGCTGGGGTACAGTGGCACAGTCTCGGCTCACTGCAACCTCCGCCTCCCGGGTTCAAGCGATTCTCCTGCCTCAGCTTCCCAAGGAGCTGGGATTACAGGCTCCTGCCACTACGCCTGGATAATTTTTGTATTTTTAGTACAGACAGGGTTTCACTGTGTTGGTTGGGCTGGTCTTGAACTCCTGACCTCAGGTGATCCACTTGCCTAGGCCTCCCAAAGTCCTGGAATTACAGGTGTGAGCCACTGTGCCCAGCCTAATTTTTACTTAATTTTCTTAACACAAATATTTCTATTGTAATTTAAGTGACCAAAATGATCTTTTCACAGCAAAGTATACCCCAGGCCAGTGCTCTTCAAACTTAACATAAAATTTAATTTGTGATAAGGAGAATAGTTTCTGTGTTCAGAACATATTTTACTAATGTGCCACATGACCTTTACTGCATTACTCATAAAACTGTGAGTCTAAAATAGATGATGAAAGAGAATAAGTATTCATTTCAAAAATGTTATAAAAATGATACAAAAAACCCTTCCCCTTTATATAAAATCCTATCATGAAAATCATTTTACAAAAAATAGAAATAAAAACTTTTCAGCTTTATAAACTATTTTTTTTAATGAGCGGGACCTTGGACCAAAAAAGGTATTATCATATCCATCCTATCAATTAAGATGCATGATGTATCCATTGTAAGCACTAACAGTTGTTGAAGACTGTAGGAAACAAAAGAATAGTCAACCAAAAGAAAAAAAGCTCCATAAACAGGACAATGAGTCCCATATTTGATCTTGAAAATTTAATTTGGAAGAACACTAAAAAAGACACAAAATGGCAAACCCCAGCACATGCACAAGTATTTCAGTGGGAAATTATGTACCTTGGGATTGTGAAAGGAAAACAAATCTCCCCAAAATCACTAAACCAAAAGGAAAAGTCAAGTTGGGAATTGTGTTGGGCAAACCTCTCTCCCTTTCTATTCCTAAATAAGATCACTACAAAGATTTTTAAAAAGCTACATACCTCCCTCACAATTTGCCCATAAGGAAATTCCTTGTGGACAACCAAAGGACAGGCAGAACTCAAAGTCATTCCTCTGTTCCCATGAGACAAATGCGTATCTGATGGCTTCCTCCGCCCTACTGTTTCACTACAGACTAAGGCATAAGTGACTATTCCTCATTTGTCTCTTAACTAACTATGACCCAGAAGCCTCCTCCCCACTTCGAGTTGTCTGGCCTTTCCTGATGGAACCAATGAATTATACATCTTACAAACGTTGATTAATGTTTCATGTCTCCCTAAAACATGTAAAATCAAGCTGTGCCCCTACCGCCTGGGGCACGTCATCAGGACCTGAGGCTGTGCCACAGGTGCATCCTTAACCTTGGTAAAATAAACTTTCTAAATTAATTTGGTAATCTAAATTATTTTGGTTTACAGGATCAATGAAGAATTCCTACTGAAGCAAATCATTTCTTAAAATGTAACTGTAATCTCTGATCCCATTTCTGGCCATTGCTTTAGTGGTTGATTCTCTCTTCAGTTTTAAGGGATAAACACAACCAGGTCATTCCGTTCACCTTCATCAAAAGAAGGTTTGCAAGCTGACACAGATGTCATGATGCTGTCAATAATAAGAAGCTGACATCATGAGGTTACTGCTGGAATCAGGATTTTAATGTCAACAATGATAACTCTCCAAAATAAAACAACTGCCAACCACAAACCCAGGTTAAAATAATCTCATCTTGATACTATGAGCTATTTTTTCAATTGAAAGATTCTAGCAAACTTAATCTAATACCTCAACCTTAGTCAGAAAAACTTTCGTCTTAACTGTTTCACCTACATCAAACTTAGCTGAGCCTCAGGCTTCACATTTGAAAAATGGAGATGATATAGTATCTACTGCAGGGTTACTGTGAAAATGAGACAATGCATTGTAGGGGCTTATCACCGTGCTTGGCATATAACAAATGTTAGACAATATTTTTCATGTGTTTGACAGTGTGTTGTAGGTACTAAAAACAATTTTCTAATTATCATTGATTTTGCTTACATAGCTTAAACCAAAGTAACACAGGTGTAGAAAATAAGGATTTGAACTCACAGCTCAGCATCTTCTTAATATGCCTCATATCCATGTGTAAAACTTTTTCTCTATACTTTAGCTTGTGTAAATTTTCTCATGATGATTTTAAATCCACATAAATAAGACTAGTTTAACAAATGTGCAAAGTCAGATCACAGAAACATGATTCAAAACATTTCAAAGCAATATAAAATGATTAAAACCACCATTAACTAGTAGCCATAATAACTCAATGAGAACACTGGCCTAGACCAAAAAAAAAAAAAAAAAAAAGACAGGTGAGAATACTCAAAAGAAAGAGTAGAAGTTAGTGAGTGACAGGGACAGGAGGCAGGGAAATTCTAGGCAGAAAAGGGCAGGTCCCTGAGAAAACCCCACCCTCAAGCCTGAAACCATGACGCAAAGTGAGAACTTATATCCCCATTTTCCCGTGCGAATGTTGCCTTTTCCGAAACCACTTACGGCCCACCCCACACCCCATCCTGTGTACATAAAAACCCCAGGCTCAGCCAGCAGAGAGAAGAGAAGCAGTTGGACATTAGAGACTACAGCTGGACATCAGAGAGAAGTGGCTCGACTTCAGAGGGACACCTTGACAGCGTAACTTCGAAGAAGAATCTGGCCAGAGACAGCTGGCATTCAGGGGAAGACTACCTTCCTGCCCTTTGCAGCTCCCCTTCCCACTAAGAGCCATCTCCATCAGCAATAAGATCCC
Source organism: Homo sapiens (assembly GCF_000001405.40). Taxonomy (NCBI): domain Eukaryota; kingdom Metazoa; phylum Chordata; class Mammalia; order Primates; family Hominidae; genus Homo; species Homo sapiens. Next base: position 86,039,973 of record NC_000023.11, read on the forward strand.
CTACATTTACCATCCTTCAATTCATTCATGTGACCTCATTTCTCCTGGATGCCGGACAAGAGCTCGGGAACGATGAGTGTGGACACAAAAAGGCTGTCACACTTGCCCTTTGCCCTCACTGGTAGAAGGCAGCCGATTAACACAAAAAGGCAGAGGGCCCACTGAGCTGTTAACCCTTAAGCCGTCTGCGGACAGCAGAGCTAAAAGAGCACTGTAACATTCCCTCTGGAGCTTCAGGGGTTGCAGGCACCACCCCCGGAGATGCTACCACAGGGCCAGCACAGAGTTGACTCCTGCCAGTGCCCAAAAGCACTCGCCCCGGCTCCTGCACCCACTCAACTGCACATCCCCTCTTGTGAGGGGTGAAACACAGCAGGTCCGAGTGAGTGGAGTTCATTCCTCCTGGCACAAGAGCGGCAGGCTGACTCCAGCACTCATGTATTCCAGTTCCTGCCTTGTTCACTCACGTGCTCCCTCCTATGAGGAGTTGAAAGCGGTGGGCTGAGTAAACAGGGTGCTCCCTTCACAAGTCCCATGAAGGGGTCAGGAAAATATCCTGCTTCACCAGTACTTTTTAAAATGTGATAAAAACCAAATCAGTCAAGGAATACATTACCAACTTCAGCTCCTGATAAAATCCAGTATGAGATGAAACACTTATTTAAGCACCATACTGGCCAAGCTGCCTCTGGTCTCTTCTCCTGTCTGTTTGCAAACTGTTCTTTTCAAAAACACCCTCAATATGATAACATGCTAGCTCTCATAATCATGCTCTAAAAAAGCAGTATCTGTGATAAATTATCAACTCTTTTTACACCAAACCTTAAATGAAATTATTAGAAAAGCAAAAACAAAACATCAACCTTTCAATGTATCCCTATTTTGCTGGCCACAACTAAACGCCCCCAAAATGTTTCCAATGAGCACCAACAGTGATTTTTAGCCTATTTTACTTTTAAATATATTTATATACAGAACAGGCACAGACTAACTTTTTAGTTAAAGAATGCACTGAGACTGAATAGCAGATGATTTAGCATGAGTTAACAGGTCAATTATATGGAATTATAATTGTTTCTGTGCATTGGGATTTTATGTTAAACATGAGAATGTAATGGTGGGCTGCCATATTTGAATTTAATTACTGTAGCCTGTTATCCAAAACATCATGAAAACACTGGAGAAAATGAGAAAAATGACATGAGGCATGGGAGATGAAAATGATGCTGCAGAGGAAATTATGGCAACAGATGTGGCTCTCTCTGAGGTATTGGCTCAAATTCATGATTTACAGAGAAGGGTAAGCATCTCCCAGAGAGTCTTCTCCAGAGTTAGATAACTCTTTACTTTTCTAGGTATTGGAAGCAAACAAAAACATACTTTTCCATCAATAAATGCCTGAAGAAGTGCAAAGCATTTTTCAGAACAGCAAAATCTGCAGGCTATCTTTCACTCCTATAGCATCTCTTACGCTGACAACGGAGTGTTTCATACTATACCTCAAATAAGACCGATACTAAATCTGTTCCAAAAACTATGAGGAAAACAAATGATAAATAATGCAAGCTGGTGAACAAAAGAGAAGACAACAAAGAAAGGACTTTTGAAATACCATTTCACTCCTACTCACTATGTCATTCAGCTGATCAATATACTCTATGCTTTAAATTTTTTGAACCTGCCCTCCCCAAAAACATATGTGTGTATGTGTGTTTATGTATATATATATATATGTTATATATATGGTGTGTGTGTATATATATATATATATATATATATATATATACATATATATATAAAAAACAACATTCATCCTTACTACATGCATTCTGATATATTCTACCTCATTTTTATAATGCTGGAATTCACTCCATGATCCACTAATAGGTGGCATCTTACAATTTTTAAAAATCCACTGTAGACAATAGATGTGAAGATTTTGGAAGTACACAGGGAGGACTATGGACATCCTGTGATGTGAGAACCACATTCAGGCATCCTGGGAGAAGATTAAGTTAGAAATATAGGAAATCACTTGTGTTAAGGCTGGCACAAACAGATATTTGGTAAATATCAGTTTTCACAACTCCTCCTGCAATATTACTATCCCCCAAGGCTTACAGAAGTGATGCTATTCCAACATCATCATAAGTCAATGAGCTGCCAGTCAAGGTTAACTACCTTAATGTTTAAATTCACCAACATCAAGGAATGGGACTGGAACATCCCAACATCAAGGAAAGGCTACTTAAGTGACCTTTTCTGAAAAAAGCAGCCTATCATTTTTAAGAAAATGCCTTTTCTAATCAGTCACTGTATTAGGCTGTTCCTGTGTTGCCATAAAGGAATGCCTGAAACTGGGTAATTTATAAAGAAAAGAGGTTTAATTGGCTCAGGGTTCTGCAGGCTGTACAAGCATGGTACAGGCATCTGCTCGGCTTCTAGGGAGGCCTGAGGGAGCTTTTAGTCATAGCAGAAGGCAAAGGGGAAGCAGGCATCTCCCTTGGTGAGAGGCAAGGCAAGCAAGTGTGGGGAGATGCCACACACTTTTAAACAACCAGTCGACCAGGCACAGTGGCTCCCATCTGTAATCCCAGCAATTTGGGCCACCAAGGCAGGTAGATTGCTTGAGTTCAGAAGTGCAAAACCAGCCTGGGCAACATAGGCAGACCCCATCTCTACAAAAATAAAAAAAAAAAAATTAGCCAGGCATGGTGATGCATGTCTGTAATCTCAGCTACTCAGGAGTCTGAGGTGGGAGGATTGCTTGGGCCCAGGAGGTTAAGGCTGCAGTGGGCCATGATTGTGCCACTGCACTCCAACTAGGGTGACAGAGCAAGACCCTGTCTCAAAAAAAAAATTAAAAAATAAACCACCAGATCCTGCAAGAACGAATTCACTATTACAAGAAGAGTACCAAGCCATGAGGGATCCACTCCCATGACCCAAACACATCCCATCAGGCCCCACCTCCGACAACGAGGATAACATTTCAACATGAGATTTGGGCAGGACAAATATCTAAACCCTATCAGCCATTTTTATAGGAAAATTTCTGAAGTATATGAAACACTGACTTTCCTTCTTAAAAAGACTACACAGAACAGAATTTAGCCTTTTCTCAAGGACATGGTGTCATAAATAGATATATACAATGGTAATTTTAGGGCTGGTAGATCCCTACCTTGGAGATCATCTATTGAAATTTCTCACTTTACAGATGAACTAAATGATGTCACAAGAAATTCTGTAATTTTCCCAAAATCACACAATAGGATGGTCATGTGATTATCATACACCATGCTGCCACATCTACTACTGTATGGTGCTAAACACTATCTAGCAAGATAATCAGGATTTAGGGGCAGTACTCCTTATAATTTCCATGTTTATCTTTGCTATCCCTTCTCTTTCCCCATAATCTTTAGCAATAAAACTTTTTTTTTTTTTTGAGATAGGGTCTTGCTCTGTTGCCCAGGCTGAAGTGCAGTGACACAACTATAGCTCACTGCAGCCTCAAACTCCCAGTTTCAGGCAATCCTCCCACCTCAGCCTTCCAAGTAGCTGGGACTACAGGCACGTGTCACCATACCCAATTAATTTTTGTATTTTTTTTGTAGAAATACAGTTTTGCTGTGTCACCCATTTCAGCTACTTGGGAGGCTGAGGTTTCAAACTCCTGAGCTCAAGCAATCCACCTGCCTCGGCTTCCCCAAGTGCTGGGATTACAGGCCTGAGCCACTGCACCTGGCCAATGAAACTTTTTTTTTTTTTTGAGACAGTCTCACTCTGTTTCTCTGACTAGAGTGCAGTGGTGCCATCTAAGCTCACTGCAACCTCCGCCTTCCAGGATCAAGGGATGCCTGTGCCTTAGCCTATAGAGTAATGGGGATTACAGGCCCGTGCCACCATGCTTGGCTAACAATAAAACTCTTAAATCAAAAGAATATATGTGTTTATCCTATGCAGTAGAAAAATTAAGCTAACCTACTCTGCAGCCCATCTTAGGGGAAGAACTCCAAAAGATGTGAGCAGTGTGCTTTTAAAAAGAAAAAATGCAGGCTGAATGTCTACATGGTCTTCAAAAAGAAAGAAGGATGCAATGAAAAGCCTACATTGTCTTAAGAACAGCTTTGGGGATATGACTGTTAGGAAGGCCAGAACGTTCCTGAGAATAGGCAATACAGTAAACTTCACAAGGGAAGGGACTAGGTTCTCAGTAAATGTGGGTTGAATGACCTGAAAAATGAGTATTTGTCACTACACTAAATGTTATCAGGCCTTTGTGATGTTTGATGTAAGTTTGCATTTTAGGTGTTTTTCTCTTCCCTTTCCTATACAAACTGTCATTTGTATGTCTAATAGCAACCCCACCAAACATAGTCTTTGCAGAAGTTGATAACATTCCTTGTATCTTCTAAGGGGGTGGTTCTAATATGCTGAGCTTGCTAGAATTATTTTTAAAATGAGGATGAATATGTTCTAAGTGATGATCTCAGGGATTCCCCTATGTATGAAGCATGTCAATATTATCATATAGATCTTATAACTTCCATCTTGACTGCTCTTCTGTTGAGTTCTTGGCTCTGCTGTGCTGCAGATTACACAGGCTTCCAGATAAGTCACCTCCAGTGAGATGTAATGTTACTGGGACGACTTTTAACGTTCAACCAATGGTACTTGTCTATAATCCACAAAACTGTCATTTAAATGACTTTTTAAATGGCAAAATACCCTGAAAATGACAATTCTGTACCCAAGCTGAAGAGCACCTTCTAGACCCTTACCACATATATCTATTTTTATCCTCTCCCTTGAGACTCCAGTTGGCCCTCCTTCTTTATTCCATTTTCTTCTATTTTTTCCGCAATTCCACTTTAGCTTACTCTTCTGTCTTTGGATGTTCAAGAGATATTTACTGTATTTTCTAATCAGAAGGAAATGGGCTTAACTAAGAAAATACAAAGTTTATTTTTTTCCATAATCTCTCGAAAATATGATCTTAAGGAACAATTTCCATCTTGCATTACAGAAAATGATAATGCAAGTTAATCAAGGTGAAAGGGATTATAAAATATTATCTTCCATGATTATACTTGATGAAGCAATTGTTCCTTTATGACATTTTAACTAGGACTAAATCTGCTAAAAAGTATATCTAATAGCCTATTTCTTCATGTTTCTGATGCATGCATTATTGCTTCTACTTTTATTAATACAACTGAATCTATGAAACACTGCTTTTTCTATGATTTGCTCAATGTAATACATTTAATAAAGCAAACATTTTAAAGGCTACTTTCAGCAAACTATTTCACAAGAGAAATATCCCAAGCACACTAAAAAATAAATCAAATTAAATCATGATTGGAATTGTTGGAATCATTTATTTGGGGAATGACTCTTTTATTCAATTTTTACACTTTTGATGTACCTAAAAGCAAAATTACATATCATAAATTTAAGCAATGTGCTTGATAAAACCTAGAATGTGTCACCAATAAACAATATGAAAAATTTAAGTTTTAAGATTAACTTCAAATAAGTTCTTCCCAAACACTGAAAAATAACATTGCACTCACTGGGATAAGTATAAAATGAGTATTTTTCCAAATATAAGCGATGTCACCTGATGCAATTCTCTGGCTCACTCACTGTAACTTCCTACCTCTACCATAACAGACTCCATCAGGATGGATGTCTTCCAATTCTGAACTGTACAGAAGGCAAAATATTTATGAAAAACATTAGCATCATTCATAAGAATTAACATTCATCAATTAAAATTTGAACCCAGACCTGAAAAAAAAAATTGTTGATTAAAAAAATTGTTAAAAACACCTCAAGTTCCTACACAAAAAAAGCAAGATTATAAAACTCAAGTATGGTATAACAACTATTCCAAAATGGATGCTGTTCTCAGTTTTAGTATAGACTTAAAAGAAAAAATGAATAGTCCATTGGCTCTTTCCAGCTCTCATCCAACATCTGTTCATAGCAGCTACAACCAGGTTATTTGCAGCCATGCAGTTATTTTCAGGCTAAGAATAAACCTGTCCATGCTGTTCTGAGAACTGTTACCCAGGCATTTTTTGTTAGACAACATAAAGACCATCTATTTTACCTTCCTTATATTCAAAAACAAGGAAACTGAGGCTCAGAGAGATTTAGTGCCTGGCCCTCCCAATTCAAGCAATTCATACTAGCACTAAGCAAGACCTAAAACCAAGTTTTCTCAATTGTTTCTACGAATATGGGTCAACTCTGAGGATCAGAACCACTGACTGTTTTCCTGGGATGGAATGGGCCTTTGGAAATTTACCAGCTGTGTGATCCTGAGCAAATTACAACTTTTCCAAGTCCCCTTTTCCTCTTCTACAAAATGCAGAGAGTACCTACTACTCTAACAAGGTTGTGAGGATTATGTTCGGCTTGTAAAGTGCTTAGCACAGTGATTAGGAAATTTTAAGCATTCGAAAACAGGTAGCTATTATTTTTACTCCCAACCTGAAAACATGGCTGCTCCTAATCATGGCTGTATGAGAAGACAACGAACTGAATTCATTAACACAATGGACAGGGTCCCATCCACCAGAGCTTCTCTGGCCTACCACATTCTACAAACAGTAAAAAACCCCATCAAACAACCTATTTCATTCCATCTAAAATGATCATCCCTTACACTATTAAAAAAAATTGAAATTGCTGCCATATGTGTTCTGCTACGTGTTGTACACTGAATATGTCAACTAGAAACTGCAGAGGAGTTTCTGGTTCCACCCAAAACATGAAGAACAAACGACGGGAAAACAAGAGTTAGATAAGGTCACACACCTGAACTGGAACTCAGGACCTTATTCTCAGCACATTTAGTTATTGATGGTAGAAAGCAAGATGCTTTAAGCACCATAAAGCAGGAATAATGGCTACCTCAACAAAATAAAATTCCCTAGGTTTCTCAACAAAATAGAATCCGTTTACTTTCCCTAGTAAATTCATACGCACATGGGCAATAATTGAGCATCTTTCTTGTAAAACTGAGGATTAAGCTGTGTCTGAGCTGCGATGTATGCTAAGATCATACAAATCTATGAAAAAGTCCTATGAAATGGCGAGACAAAATGATGGGGAATATCACCTTGAAATCAATAAGGAAGGAATCATAATGTCTTGCCAAAGTCGTCTCCGTTGATAAAATCCCGACCCTCCATTTCATGACACTGCACATCCACTTCCCTCTAAGGAAATTAACAGGAATCACCGCAGCAACCAACCTCAGCAATCAGCATCGACCAGATCAACCCCTACTCAAATGGCGATAAGCACTGCGGGTCCCAGCCCCTCCCTGTAACTGCCAACTCCCGCGCTGACTCCGGACTACCTCACTTCCTTTCAGTTCTCCCTCCCACTCTCGACCCACGATGTTTGTCCCAAAACTCGCCACTGACAGAAAAAACAGAAACAAGACAGTCTTCCTAAACTTTGTCCAGGAAGCACCAGGCTACACATACCCGTCCCTATTACGATCACATCAAACTCCGAAGGGAGAGTATCCGCCATCTTGACGGGAAACGTGTCATGTGACTATTACTTGTGGAAATGAGATCAAGTTAGGCATTCCCTCCGTGGAAGGCGGAAAAGAAAACAGTGCATTCTGGGTGTTGTAGTTCTTGGGTGGAAGGTCCAGGCAGGCGACTACAGTATTATATTTAAAATGTTTACACGTAAGTTAAAAGCTCGACTCATTTTCCAGGCTGAATGCTGTAGCTCATTTAGCCTGGAGGGTTGAAGTAGGAAAGAAATGTAGATTTTTATTCCGTTAGCTAGGATGAATGTGGGAGACTTGGATACCCCTTGACAATACTGAAGCAAAATTGTTAGGAGACACGGAGAGCGGAGTGAAATTGAAGGCGGTTTGCTCTGTGAACAAAGGAGACTTTCATTCCAGCCTAAAAAACTGTTTCCCGCCATCGTTTCTGTACTTTCGTGTTGGCCCTCGAGGCATGGTTTTTCACACCAATACTTTCAGAATATATTCCATATCTTTTTCGTTTCCATGTCTCCTCGATGAAAACCCACAAAAAACCTCTCACCCTAGTTTCGCCAGAATGGAACTCCCACCGCGTCCGTATTTGTTCCAGTTAGTCCAGACAGCCACTCGGGCAATAAATTAGCCTTGCTTTACAGGAGGGAAAAAATATATGAAAGCATGGTTGCGCTGGATAAGCGTCTGTTGAGTCTGAATTCGATTTTCCGCACCAACTAGATAAGTTCATGTAAGATTCTCCTTAGTTTACATTTAGTTTCCAATCTATTAGTTTCCATAAGCTACCGTAGAAATAATTAAGGTAAAATGGTCTTTATATTAAAGTGATTGTATCTGATGAGGGGCTTTAGGTCGTCTATGTCTAACAGCTAACATAGCTCTCATAAGTATCTTCAAGGTCTGTCGCCTCCCACCGCTTCCCTCCAACCGCCCCCCACCCTGCCCCCGATTATTTAATACTCCGCTGTCTGACAACACCAAAGCAAAAGGGGAAGGATGCTGGGAATGAAGGAGGATACTTTTTTGACGACAGAAATTTCTTGTGTAGTTATTTTACAAGAGTTTCAAAATAAATCAAAGATAATGTGCAGTAGTGGGCCTTCCCTGACACCACCTATCCGCTAAGATGCTTGTGGTTCCCCAGACATTGTTTTCTTTCCAGTCTCTGACCACGCTCATGCTGTTCTTTCAGCATGGAATGATCTTCCCATTCTCTAGCTAACAGTTATTCCCAGGATGTCGCTGGGCTTCCACCTCCTCCTCCTTTCGTCTCCGTGTGTGGGCTGTTTCCCTACATGGTGCTAGACTTTGTCTTAACCCGCCATACTGCATTTATGACGATTCCTATAGAGTACACATATCCCCATATATCCACACAAAAATACACACCCAGACATGCAATACCATAATTATAAACCCCTGTACAGCATGACAGACACCAAGTCTCATTTATCTTTTTCACTCCTGCACCTAACCTAAGCCCGGTGCATAGTAGGAATTTAATAAATGTTTGCTAAACCAAACTTGATTTTGACTCCCCTAATAGATGGATGAGACGAGTCCCTGTCCTCATAGTGCTTACCATCTTTGCCTTTATATCTGCCCACCACTATCATGTGTCTTATATTTAGAAGATGTTCAGTGTCCATTAATTGTAAATATTTACATGAAAATGCTTTAAAATGTATTTTGATACGCTTTTTACTGCATTTCTCTTGCATTTTACCATAATCATTAGCAACATTGTACATGTTTCATTACTTTCTTTTATAGATCATCCAGTTGTATTACACAACTCTCTTAAGATATGGTCTTTGATTAGTATTTTCTGTAAAACAGATTCCCCTGAGAAGTATAATGTACTGTTCAGTAAACCACTTTGTCATTTGCCTTGGTATGTAAAGCAAGTTTTTAGTATTATCAGAAGTGAAACAGATATTATTTGTGAGACTCTTGATAAGACAGTAGAAAATGGAAACAAATGGATTTCTCAGAGTAAACACAGAAAACTTTCCAAAATCTTCTCTAATAATGAGAAGCCACAGATGGATGGTTAAAAACCTGATAAATAAAAGTATTTCTACCATACTTTGGATATATATTTATATACATTTGTTCATGTATACGAGATATATAAACTACATACATATACTTTTCAATATGAGTATCACTGACCTTCTAGGGATTCAGAAATTTTCTGACAATCACACCATGAAGATGCAATTCATTAATTTGTTTATTCCTCAAATATTCATTCAGCACCTACTATGTGCAAGACACTATTTTGGATGCTGAGATTAGAGCAATGAACAAAACAGACAACAACCCCTGTCTTCATGAAGTTTACATTTAGTAGGGTAAAACAAAATAAACAAGTAATTACTCTGTAGCATAGATTTTCCAATCTGTGCTGCCCTTAGTTTGAAACCTTCTTTTTTTCCCCTAAGGATAGAAAGCACAATCCTCAGAAGGATAATATTACCAACTTATATTTTGCTGTTCTTTCTCTAAAGTTATTATGGGACTTATTCATGCCCTTTTCTGGGCATGGAAAAGATTACTACATTAGGAAAATTTCAATCTTGTGCATGGAGAAAATGCTCCAAATACCTTTTATTTCAAATGTATTTTTGTAGACTTTATGCAAAGTAAAGATGAATATAGGAGTTAATAATTGCAGTAAAAAAAGCGTAAAGCAAAACAGCTGAATTGCATCTATTCTGTTATTCTAAGGACATCTTTTTTTTTTTTTTTTTTTTTTTTTGAGACGGAGTCTCTCTCTGTCGCCCAGGCTGGAGTGCAGTGGCGCCATCTCCGCTCACTGCAAGCTCCGCCTCCCGGGTTCACGCCATTCTCCTGCCTCAGCCTCCCGAGTTGCGGGGACTACAGGCGCCCGCCACCACACACGGCTAATTTTTTGTATTTTTAGTAGAGACGGGGTTTCACCATGTTAGCCAAGATGGTCTCCATCTCCTGACCTCGTGATCCGCCCGCCTTGACCTCCCAAAGTGCTGGGATTACAGGCGTGAGCCACCCCACTGGGCCAAAGACTATGTACATTGGAGATAGTCATCTTGCATAATATGTCTCAGAGATTCTCTGAATTTCTTGAATTTGCATGTCGACCTCTCTTGCAAGGTTGGGGAATTTTTCATGTATTATATCCTGAAATATGTTTTTCAACTTGCTTACTGTCACTTCTTTTCTCTCAGGAATGCCAATGAGTTGTAGGTTTGATCATTTTACATAATCCCATATCTCTCCGAGGCTTCATTCATTTTTTGAAACTCCTTTTTCTTTTTCTTTGTCTGTGTAGGTTGATTAGAATAACCAGTCTTCAAGCACCAAAATTCTTTCCTCTGCTTTGTCTAGTCTGTTGTTAAGGCATTCAACTGTATTTTGAAATTCCTATAGTGAATTTTCCAATTTCAGAAGTTCAGTTTGGTTATTTATTAATATGACTGCTTCATCTGTCAAGTCTTGGATCGTTTTTCTGGCTTCCTTGGATTGAATTTCAAGGATGCTTACTGAGCATCCTTGACATCCAGTTTCTGAATTCTTTGTCTCATTTCAGACATTTCAATTGAAAAGAGATTCTTAGAAAATAGTTGTGTTTGTATGAATGTGTATCTCTTAACACTATGAAAAATAAGCAATAATAATTCAGGAAGTAGATTATTACATCTTATTATAAGTTCCAGACTTATAAAGAATTTTTTTCAATTCAGAACTAGTATTAAAGCTAATTTTGAATTAAAAAATGTGTCTCCAAGCCTGTAGTTGTAGTGGTGGTAAAAATTTACCAGTACCAATACTCTGGACAATAAAACAGAGCTAAAAGTAAAGAAAGTCCAGTCTACTGGAGAATATCCTCAAATTACATGAACTAGTGCTGTTGTGAGTATACAACCCCCTTGAGGAGTTTCACAATATATCCAGATGAAGTTAACTTAAAGTTTTCCATTTCAAATGTGTATAAATACTATTCTATCATACCATTTTTGTTTATAAAATTGAGGTCTTTGAGTTCATGTTCAATTCCATCTTTAAAAGATAATCAATGTCATGACAGCAATTATTTCCATATATTAGAAATATTTTTTAAGTGTTAGTTTTAGTAACAAAATGATTATTTGTACTAACTATTGTATTTGTCAGCTTCTTCAATACAGAAATATTCAGAACACATTTACATTTTTCATAGTCCCTGCAAAACAAAACAAAACGAAACAAAACAAAGAGGCTGAATAATTTTGTGGGAATTTCATCAACCTTTATAGAAAGTCTTGCTATTCTTCTTTTAGCTGTTTAATTGTAATGTCATAGTAACAGAAAGCAGCATACCCAATTTTGCATGGATGAATAAACACATTCAATAAGGAAGATTTAACAGAGTAAATCAAACACTGGATTAAACATTTTCTGCATAACAGACCACAAAATGGGCATTCATTTTACCAATGGATCCTTGGCATTAGAAGCAAATAGAAGTGCATACCAACATAATTAAACTGAATATTCAGTGGCCTGATTGCAAAGTTTCCCAATATTTTATCAAACGATCTTCCAGTTAATTAAAATTGCCTATACATATTCAAGCACACACATAGAAAAGATTAAGTATAGATACTACTCATTTAAATTTATAATTCAATAGATTAACTTGTTTTCTTCTATTTTTTATCCCCAAAGTTTGAATATAGTAAATCTTCAGTATGATCGCACAAATGAAAAGTTCAAACACATTGAAATTGGCAATATTGTGTTGTTTTGCATTTAATTGTATTTAATTTTTCATTTTTGATATAAGAATATTATTTAAAGACATATTTTAATCTCCAAGGGTGAGCTATTTCCACTAAATTTGCTGACAAAACTTCACCCCAGAATTTATTACATGGCTATTCATAGTCAAATTTTAAAATAGTTTACTATTTTTGTACAAGTAGTTTCTCCTATTATTTATGTCTTATTATTTCAGTTTGTTTTTACTGTAATGTTTTATTTCAATGCAAAAGCATTTTTACATTTATTTTTATCAAGAAATGGCTGAATAACCCAAGATTCAGGGCTTTCTATTCTCTCTAATCCTCAGAAATAATGTTTTATTAATTCTATATATGACTCAAAGCATTAAGAATAAGAAGAACCACTTCATATTTGGACTAACTTTGTGATAATTTTGAATATAATGAGGTCACTTCAACTGTATTTTTTATTCTACATAGGTATTAAATAGGAGTTTGTAAAGAAATAGATGACATGCCTACTAAAAACAGGGATTGTCTCTGTATTTCTGTAATATCAATGTCTACCATTGCCACAATACCTTCTTACAGCCATGCCAAAAGGAGAGCAAAAAAGAAAGCTGATCCAAGGGAGTCCATGGCTTGTCCAAATTTATGCCTAGACTTGTGGCCTGTTTTAAAAAGATAACCTGGGCCAATCAGATTTCCTTTCCAGGAAATTCTTTAAAAATGATGTAGATAAAAGATGCAGTATAACAGAAGCTGAAAGAAATGAATTGAGATTTGTCTTGATGTAAAGTAGGGTAGAGCAGCCATTATATGCAGCATCCATCTGGTGTATGGGCCACAGTCAAGATGACTACCAGAGAAAGTCAATTGGTAGAGAGAAAGGATAATACAGTAGACCTGCAGGGACATGTATAATTGTCATGGGTGCAAAAGCAAGTTTATACTTGTGAAAAAAAGAGTTGTGGTCTCAGTTCATGAAATCTGCTTGTGTTTTATTTTCTGTGCTTTAATTCGTGCAAACTCTGAGTGTCCTTATAACAGCACCTCCTTTTCTTAGGTAGCCAGGGTGAGCATTGCAAGCAAAGTAATTTTGATTAAAAGATTTTAAAACATGCATATAGCCGGGCACACAGATGATTCTCTACAAACTGTTGCTCTACCTAAAAATTAAAACTGTAAAAGATTTTAAGAAATTGCTATTCAAACACTAGAAATATTGATTCAAATCCAAATATTTATCTGGAAATCATAGGTTGAGGACAGATTTTTTTTAAATTATACTTTAAGTTCTAGGGTACATGTGCACAACGTGCAGGTTTGTTACATATGTATACATGTGCCATGTTGGTGTGCTGCACCCATTAACTCGTCATTTACATTAGATATATCTCTTAATGCTATCCCTCCCCCAGGCCCCCACCCACGACAGGCCCTGGTGTGTGATGTTCCCCATTCTGTGTCCAAGTGTTCTCATTGTTCAATTCCCACCTATGAGTGAGAACATGCGGTGTTTGGTTTTCTGTCCTTGCAATAGTTTGCTGAGAATGATGGTTTCCAGCTTCATCCATGTCCCGACAAAGGACATGAACTCACCCTTTTTTATGGCTGCATAGTATTCCATGGTGTATATGTGCCACATTTTCTTAATCCAGTCTATCATTGATGGACATTTGGGTTGGCTCTAAGTCTTTGCTATTGGGAATAGTGCCACAATAAACATACGTGTGCATGTGTCTTTATAGCAGCATGATTTATAATCCTTTGGGTATACACCCAGTAATGGGATGGCTGGGTCAAATGGTATTTCTAGTTCTAGATCCTTGAGGGATCGCCACACTGTCTTCCACAATGACTGAACTAGTTTACAGTCCCACCAACAGTGTAAAGGTGTTCCTATTTCTCCACATCCTCTCCAGCTTCTGTTGTTTCCTGACTTTTTAATGATTGCCATTCTAACTGGCGTGAGGTGGTATCTCATTGTGGTTTTGATTTGCATTTCTCTGATGACCAGTGACGATGAGCATTTGCTCAGCTATGCCCTGCCCCCAGAAGTGGAGTCTACAGAGGCAGGCAGGCCTTCTTGAGCTGCGGTTGGCTCCACCCAGTTTGAGCTTCCAGCCTGCTTTGTTTACCTACTCAAGCCTCAGCAATGGTGGATGCCCCTCCCCCAGCCTCGCTGCCACCTTGCTGTTCAATCTCAGACTGCTGTGCTAGCAGTGAGCCAGGTTCCATGGGTGTGGGACCCTCCAAGCAAGGGGCAGGATATAATCTCCTCGTGTGCCGTTTGCTAAGACAGTTGTAAAAGCACAGTATTAGGGTGGGAGTGTCCCGATTTTCCAGGTACCGTCTGTCACGGCTTCCCTTGGCTAGGAAAGGGAATTCCCTGACCCCTTGCGCTTCCCAGGTGAGGTGATGCCCTGCCCTGCTTTGGCTCACGCTCCAAGGGCTGCACCCACTGTCCGACAATCCCCATTGAAATGAACCCTGTACCTCAGTTGGAAATGCAGAAATCACCCATCTTCTGCATCGCTCATGCTGGGAGCTGTAGACTGGAGCTCTTCCTATTTGGCCATCTTGGAACCTCCTCGAGGACAGATCTTAAGAAGTGATCTGTCTATACCTTGCCTTCAGTCCATTTCATAGCCAAATTATTCCAGGCAGTTAGAAAAATCTATCTTATTTTGAAGACCTCTGGAGAAGTATATTTTATTCTGTTTTGCCCATTTCTTCACTGTTAGGAAACTCTACCACTGAAATATTGGTTTCTATAATTTTTATTATTAAATGTAGAGTTCTAAGTGACACATTAGTATTATATTAATATTGCATCATGAAATTAAAAATTATGCTATCATAAGGAGTCAACTAAGGAGGAATCATGGGCTCCCTTGGCTTTGCAGAGAGGAAAAGAAAATGTCAATGTGAGAAATATTATAGGAGTATCAAAACACGTGAAAACACAAAACACATTAATAGTAAAACCTCAGTTGTAGTCTTAATTTCCCTACAGCAGTATATGAATTAGAAATTCTCATTAAGATAGAAAAATAGAAACTGTGACAGCCAGTGTCCATGGTCCACACATCCTGGCATTAATGCCTTTACATAGTCCCTTCCCATATCAAACCAGCTGACCTGTGTACAAATAGGATTTTATGGAAATGATGGAGTGAGCCTTCAGAGGGCATGTAACTTAAGACATTGCAGTTTCCACCTTGCTCATTCTGGGACCATTTGCTCTGGAAAAAGCCAGCTGCCAGTTCATGAGGACACTGAAGTAACTCTTCAGAGAGGTTTGTGTGGCAAGACCTTCTATCTACATGCAGCAAAGAACCAAGGCTTTCTGCCAACAGCCAGACATGTGAGCCATCTTGGAAGCAGATCGTCCAGCCACAGTTAAGCCTTCAGATGATTGCAGCTTTAGCCGACATCTTGGCTGTAACTTCATGAGAGACCGTAAGACAGAACCATTCAGCTGAGTTGCTCCTAAATTTCTGACCCACATAAACTGAGATAATAAATGTTTATTATTTTAAGACACTAAGTTTTAGAATGATTTCTTATTCAGCAACAGATAACTTGTAGAAAAATAAAACCATTATAATCCATCTGAAGCAGACATTCCAATCATGTTGTTTCAAGTAGAGAATAGCCACTGCCATATCCAAGAAATCTATGTCCCTACATCATCTCAACTGTTTTAATTAAGTCAAAGCTTAATCTCACCTTTCCAGCTTTATTTACAACTACTACTCCCCTACCTATACTCTATGGTCCAGCAAAACTGAGCTTTCACCATTCCCTGATCATTTGTATGTCTCCATGTCTTTGTTCAAATTGTTTCTTCTGACTGAAAAGCATTCTTTTCCGTGCAAAAATCATATACTTCCTTCAAAATCCCCCTTAGCTGCCATTTTTTTATGCGAGCTTTACTGATCTCCCAAACTGTATATTTCTTCTTCATTTTAAGCCCATTATTTGCTAGGACTATTTTCACTGCAAGTGACAATCCCAACTCAAACTAGTTCAAACAAAAAGGGAATTTATTTTATTGGATCACGTAATTGGGATATCCAGGTGTGGAGATGGCTTAAGCCTGACTGCATTCTGAGTCTCAAACATTGTCTTCATCTCATAGGCTTCATCCTATAGGCTTCATTCCATAGGCAGTCTCTCTATTTGTCAGAGAAAATAGCTGCTAGAAATACACACTACAGTTTGTTGTTCAATAACTAGAGAGCCTCTCTTTCCAGGTCCATATATCAGGGAACACTAATTGACCCTATCAGGGTCCCAGCAGGAATTGAGGGCACACTCAACCTGAGTAATTTGTTGGCAGAGTTTGGGGAATCCAACAGAGAGTTGTGCATCAATAACAACAAAAGAGAACTGTTATCACCCCTAGGCCAGAAGGGGAAGGGGTGGAAACACTTATCTGAGCCCAGAGAGGGTAGCTTTGTGGAGGAGGAGGCCACCTGATAGGTGTTGTGACTTCAGTAAAAGGGCATAACCAATTTACAGCAGCTGTGCAAGAAAATAACTGCAGGAATAAATTACCTGGCCTTATTGTCCTCCCTTCTTTTATTCTCTCTCCAAGGCTCCCCATTGGCCAAACCCAACAAGAAAGCAGAGAAAAGGAACCCACTGATGTATTTTGTAAAGGCCAGCCTCCCAGAGATCAGAGTAGAAAAGGTTAGGTAATAGATCTGGAAGAACAAAGATGAGAAGTGACAATGGAAAAGATGGACACACAGAGATGTTTTATAATACCAGAAATAAAATGAGTATGATAAAACATATAAATAAAATAGTATGAGTCTACAGAATAAAAAGTGATTTATTCTGCCAAAAAGGATAGGAGAAGGCATCTAGGAGATAGTGGCATTTGGGCTGTAACACATAGGCTAAATGCATGGTACAATAATGTCTAATTTTGAATGTACATTAATTTTTAAAACTAAATGCAATGAAGTATATTAATAATATTATAATTGACACCATTTCTTAGGGGGTTATTGTGTTAGACACTATGTTAGGTATTTTAAATATATTATCACTAATCCTTTGAACAACTTTGCAAGAAAAAATCTTCATTTTACAGATTAGGTAGTTGAGATTCAGAGAGGTCCAAAGACATTTGAAATATGTTTTCTATATTGAACTCCATCACATATAACTAACGTTTAAAAGGTTGTTTATTTACTACCCACCCCATCTGTACAGTTTGAATATATTTTGGCCTCCCAAAACATTTGACACAAAACTCAACCCTTGCACTGGCTTTCACAGAATTCCAATTATACCACACATATCATTGTTGTTTGTCTTTGTTTACGTTTTTGGTTTTGAATTTTACTGTGCATTTATGGAAACACAGGAAGGTTCACATTATACATTGCATAACATTTAGTGACAAAAATCCCCAGTGGGCACGTGTCTCCTTACAAGTTTCCCTGGTTGCACTATCAATGTGTGTGCATGTGGGGAGGGAAGCATGGGGTGGGGGAGTGTTCTTATATTCCCTCTTTCCATCTCACTTTCAGTCTTTCTTCTTAGTGTCTACTCTTACTGACTTGGACCTCCTTCGATCCGAGATCTTTAGCCTTGGACCTGTAAATCTCACTCCTTTCTTAAGCAGTACGTCTGAAGTCAGCTTCAGTTCTTCCAAACTTTTGCAACAGATATAAGCTGCATTGTCCCAAAAGTCAGGTATGAAACTTCAAAACTTTTATTTTACTATAACTCAAATTAGCTCATGAGCCACATTTTTTCACCTGGCAAAAAAACTGAAACCAGTCAATTCGATGTAACTCAATCACCACTAGTTTGTAAATGTGATCAGTGTAAGATTTGAACTTATCACTTTCTCCTTCCCCTTTTGTCTTCAAAACTGATTCCATTAGCATTGTCTTGACACCTTCTTGGGGGTTCTGGAGCACTTACTTAGCTGCTTTCCATGCACCATGTTGAGGTATGCATGACATATTCAGACTACCTTGAGGTCCGCCTTCCTAAATATCTCCCACTGCCACTGCTAATCTGCCAAGGTACATCCCTATGAGACTTAGTTTTCAGGATAGCACACCTTGGGAAGCTAGACAGTGGTCTCCTGTACTCTGGGTCCTACCCTCCAAAAAGTCCCTTACTTAATGGTTGAAGATACAAACTTATGTTCTCAGCTTTGGTTTCATATAGAAATTTTAGAATTCCAAGAAAACTTATTATCTTCAGCAATCATACTTGGCTCTTATAAATTGAAATGCATAGACCCTGAGATTATTGTGTCTGCTATGTTTTAAAATCCATTCAGCAACTCAGTTGACTTCTTTGTTCTAAAATAAGGCCAACCTGCAAGCAAAGGCAGGGCATGTAGACATATAGAAAGCTATTTCTGTTGCCGGGTTATTGGGAAAGAGTAATGAATAAAGAAAGAGGGGCAGTGAAGATGAAACATCTCAAAATATTAGCTCACAATATTTTACATGCACATACTCAGGAGCTCAACAAATAAACATCCCTAAGTTCAGTATTCACCCTCCCTAGAAAGGAGTGGAAAATTAGAAAAAATAATCATCATTCTTGTTTACACAATAATATAATAATAATATTGAGACATAACTTGAAGTGATATTTATTTACTGGAGAAAACAAAAATTATATGTGTGGAAATGCATGTACATTTCCATATGTGTTCCATTGAAACTCTCTATATTTGCCCACTTTTATGAACAAGGCCTTGAGAAACATTAGTATAAATTGTGTTGCCTATTCTATGCTCCTAGAATGTAAGCTCCATGAGGGCAAATATTTTGTCTGGTTTTTTTTCACTGTTTTTAATCCTTGTTGATTAGATTAGGGTCTGGAAATAGTAAGAAGTCAATAAATATTTGTTGCATGCGTTAATACTGGAATTTAAATTGATAGCTAATAACCTGGATTATATTTTGTTTGCCCCACACAGTTTAGACAACAACAGCGACACTACCACTACCAACGACAAAAGAGTAGTTGCCAATAATATTAAATTTGGGTATTTCATGTAAAAATATAGATTTTGTTGCCTTATTGAAAACTGGGGCGCATATGGCAACACTGGATCTATATTCCCATGTGACATCTGAATTGAATAGCATATTTGCTTTCCAGTTCATCACAGTCTCCTGTGGTCCTTTGTCTCAAATAGCCCACTTCCTTCATTTACATTACCTGACAGACCTCTGTAGTGTTTGAGTTTATAATTTCTTCTTTACACACACACACATACACGCAAACCTTATGTTGAGATAGCTATCTATTCTTTGACAGAATGAAACAAATAGCTCATCAAGAAATGTACATTTTATCTATTTTGTGATTATTTTTGAAATTTGGAGGTACAAAACTTGTCTCCAAAATGCAAAAATAAACCTCTCACATAGGTTTATAAAATTCACAAAAATATTCTCTATTATTTACCAATAGGACTTCCTAATTGTTTGAATCCTTCCCAAAGTGCTTTGCTTTCCAAAATCTTCAAGAAAGAGGAAAACATGATGTCCACTTACCTCCCCTGAAAATTTTCCTCAGAAGAAGAGTCATTTTTCACTTGCCCCTAATTTCTTTCAGCTCTTAAATCTGTCAGTTTATTTATTCAGCATGTTCTGTGGAGACATCTTATTTGGTTCTGCACACTTTACTGAGTGCCCTTGTAGTTTTCTAGGACTCTTCCTTCAGAACATTATGTTGAAAAAGAAAAAGAACATTATGGTGAATGGAGTGAGATGTAAGCTCACAACTTACTATTCCTCACAGACTTTATGATGATGCATTTCTATCAGACAGAAAATCAAACTCAGACTCCTTGAAGTCTAAAGGAGAATTTATTGACTTGTATAACCAAATCAATGTCAACGTCATTAGAAGTCCACAAACAATGTCATTAGAAGTCCACTTCACTCTATTTTTCACCTCTACCTTCTGCTGTGTCCACTCCTTTTCAGTCTGTGGTGGCCCCCAGTAATTCTAGGCTCTCCCCTTCTATTGGTGAGATGGTTGGAGCAGCTTGACCCTCTCAGGCAAACAAACTTCCAACAGGGTGGCTTACTTGCTTTTCTTCCAATCAACTCAGTGAATCTTACTAGCTCTAACTGGGTCATGTGCCCATCTCTGAACTGATTACTGTGGAGATGTAAAGTTCTGGATGGCAAGGATCAAGTGGCATAAGTCTCTTCCCCTGGAGTTTGATATAGGCTTAACTCCACCCTAAGCACATAAACTGAGAGTAGAATAAAGGATAGTTCCCCAAGAGAAATTATTGTACATTTTGTCACAAACCAAGTGTTGAATGATTCTTCAGCAACATAAGTAATAGATATCCACTAAAACATTTTGATAGTAGGAAAATATTTTGGGTTACATTTTTATCATTACTTTAAAGTTACATATAATCTCTTTCACATCTCAAAATTCAAGGCCTTTATTAATTTACATTATTTTTGTGGTTTCTGATGATTTAGAAAGAACCTTGTTTTCTTTTTTCTCAGTTCTTTATATTCATACTTTCTGTGACATATTTTCTATACTCCTGTGGTAGACCTGGATAGGATAAAGGAAGGAGCCCCTGGGAAGGGCCTTTCCCAGGAAGAAGGCCTAGGACTTAGTGCTTAAATAACATGACAAATAAGAAAGTCATAATTGGAGATTGGCTTCTTATATTTTACTATTTCTACAGCTGCCTTAGGGTACACTTTTAAAGCCTACATTTTGCTTTAGAGTTTCTCAAAGCTAAAATCATACCTAAACCACATTTTTATGGTGTTTGTGAGAAAAAGTAGAAAACAGGAAAAAAAATACTATCATGCTTATCATTTAAATTTTCCATATCTTTGAGCCTGAAACCAAAATATGTGGGGCTTAGGCAGAAAGCTTACTGGAGGGCTACTGGAGAAAGAGTTACAACTGAGCTAGGATGACTAACATTGCTCTCCTGGGTATGGGTAACTGGTTCCAACTCTGCTAGAATCTGTATCTAATTCTCAAGTGTTCTATTTGTGGTTGTAGGCCAGGATGCTAGTTTCTTCAGAAAAGTGGAATAAGATTCAGAAAAAGAGGCAGACACCAAGTCAAACTGAAATTACATGTGGATTTAAGAGAAAAAGAATGCAGCTGATAAAATGAAAATGCAGGTACCTATGAATCTTGCTTCAGGCCTACTGAACTCCGGTTTTAGGGTAAGAGTGCTCAAGCTTAAGCACACATCAAAATCACCTGAAGAACTTGTTAAAACAAAGATTCCTTCTATAAAGAAAATGCGGTATGTATACACAGTGGAATACTATTCAGCCATGAAAAAGAATGAAATTCTGTCATTTGTGGCAACGTGGAAGAGTTTGGAGGATATTATGTTAAATGAAATAAGTCAGGAACAGAAAGATATAAATAGTGCATGCTCTCACTCATATCTGGGAGCTAAAAAATTTGAGCTCATAGAAGTAAAGAGTAGAATAGAATTCTGGTTATTAGAGGCTGGGAAGGGTAAAGGGGAAAAGAGGATAGGGAGAAGTTGGTTAATGTATACAAAATTACAATAATTTATTGTCTATTTCAAATAGCTAGAAGGGAGGATTTTGAACGTTCACAATACAAAGAAATGATAAATGTTTCAGGTGATGGATTGCTAATTACTCTGATTTGATCATTACGTATTGCATACACGTGTTGAAATATCACTCTATACTCCATAAATATGTGCAATTATTATATGTGAATTTAAAAATTACTAAATTAAAAAATGCATAAAGATTCCTCATTTGGTAAATCTGGGGTGGGGACTAATAATTTGCCTGAAATTTTTTCTACAAAGTTCCCAAGTAACATTGATGCTGCTGTTCTTGGGTCTTCACTTTGAGAACTAATAGACTATGGCAACAAGAGTAGTTACAAACTCCCATCTTCTGGTAGAAATAGAGCCCCCGGTAAAATGCCAGGCTTGGATTCCCCCTCCTGTTTTAGGAGGGGGAGAGATTAAATCTACAGTTTGAAGGTCACAAAATCTAAAACTTGATAGGGCAGAGTAAGTGGAACTGACACCTGAGCAGTGGTGTGCTGCAGCCTGCTCATACTAGCTTTCATGAGCCAATATCCACATCTCTTCCCAGCTCCAAGTTCAGTGATATCAAGTGGGTAACTTGAATTCAGCCTTGGTGGGAGATTTAAACCACACTTATTTACCAGCACACCGCTGCCTACAAGTGATATTGAGTGCTGATAGGTGCATAAGATACTCTACATACCCTAAAACCCACAGACCCCATCTTTTAAGAACGTACATTCCAAATACAATTATAGTCATCCCAGGAAAATTATGCGGTATTATTCATTCAATAACTATTTTTTAAGTACTTGCTGTATATCAAGAACTGTGACAGATGCAGGGGATACAGCGGTGAACCAGAAAAACACATTCCTTGCCTTCTTGGAGCTTACACAATTTTAAATAAAAGAAGTAACTGTAATGTGAATAATTTAACTTAAGTGATTCTGTAAATACATTAGCAGCAAATATCATAATTGTTTTAAAAACTCAAATAATGAAAAAATCCTAATAATTATCTTTATAAGCCCTGGAGCACAGTGGACTATTGTAATTATCAAAATTATTTATATCTGTTGACATTTACTATATATTTAATATGTTTACTGCAAGTATTTAGTGTGGTTATAATTACTGTCTATCTGGCTCTCTCCTATACCATATGTCTTCAAATTTAGAAATAGCGTGGGCATGTACTGCTCCTTAGGTTAATGTTTCCTCATTTCTGGATACGGAGTTCATTGGCTTCACTTTGTGTGTGTTTTTAAAGAAGAAAACTTGTGCCATCTGGGAGAAAACAGACTTCAAGGAAAGAGGTCAAAAGGTGCTTAAAATATTTACATTTTAGCAGAAAGAGTAAATACATGTTAATGTCAAGAAGAAAGCTTTTTAACATAGCTTAGTTTAGTCAATTATCCTGGTTTCTTTTATACAGAGTGACACATTTTAAAGAAGCAACTATTTAATCAGCAATTAGCCTTAGATATAGTAGGTATTTTGGAAGTAGGCAATGGAGATGAGGATGAATGGGATTTTAAGGAAGCTTGACATGAACATCAATGTTGCCTCTGGGCTGTAACCAAGGCACCTCTCTGTCTCCACTCTCTTGTCTGCCAGCACTTGCCAGGTTCCAACAGGGATGTGGGAATGGGCAAGAGTCTGTGCGTTTTAGATGGTGGGTGGGTGAGGACATGTAACAGTAATATCCTTTTGTTAGTGGTGGAAGGTATCCAGGTTACCAGTGGCGAATCCGTATGGGTCTGTAGCAACCTCAATTCTTGCCTCCTCAGAAGAAAGAATTCAACTGAGGGGCGTAAGGCAGAAAAACAGACTGAGGCAAGTTTCAGAGCAGGAGTGGAAATTTATTAAAAAGCTTTAGAATTTTCAGTTTTTCTGTTCTGTTTTTCCCCATCTTTGCAGTTTTATCTATCTTTGGTCTTTCATGGCACATGTATACATATGTAACAAACCTGCACGTTTTGCACATGTACCCTAGAACTTAAAGCATAATAAAAATATATATATAAGTCATGAAACATATTCAAAAAAGGAAAAAAAAGCTTTACAGCAGGAAAGAAAGGAAAGTACACTTGGATGAGACCCAAGCGGGCATCTTGGAAGTCATGTGCGGTGTTTGACCTTTGACTTACAGTTTTATGTGTTGGCATACTTCCAGGGTCCTGCATCCCTTTTCCTTGATTCTTTCCTTACGGTGACCTGCCTGCATGTGCGGTGGCTTTCTAGCACTTGGGAGATGAGCATGCACAGTGGGTTTACTGGAGTCATATGCATGCTCACCTGAGGCGTTTTTCCCTTTTCTGGTGGAGTGCCCCATGCTCAAGCCCACTCACCTAATTCCTGAGGTCTTATTGAGAAGCTATCGATCACCAACTTCAGGTGTTTTCTATCTACAGAGATACTACCTTTTCCTGGTGCTGGCTGCAACCAATGATTATTTTAGAGAGGCAGTGTGACAACTGCCTGATCATCACCTGATGATCTCCTGACTTTCCTGGTGGGGTGTGGTGGGGAGCCCTCTCCTACCCTGCTCATGGCTGACTAGCGACCTACCGTAACAATTTTACACTCTTCTCAGGGTCTTATTACTAATTTTTAAACTGCATAATTTACATTACTTCCTCTAAGTTCTTGCCATTATATTATAGGACTACTCACAGTAAGGTCTCCAAACTGTTCCTGGTCTAAGTACAGAAACTTACTGTAAACATTTAGAAACTTTTATAGCAATTTAACAGAGTAATTTTATGTATGTTGAATACAATAATAAAACCTGGAACTTGACCAACGTCTTCCCATTTCCCCCACCCCTTAACTCCTGGCAACCACCATTCTTCTCTGTGCTTCTGTGGGTTCTATTTTAGATTCCATATTTAAGTGAGATCATACAGTATTTGTCTTTCTGTGTCTGACTTATTTCACTTGGTATAATGTCCTTCATTTTCATCCATGCTGTGGCAAATGGCAGGATTTCCTTCTTTTTTAAGGTTGAATTACATTCCATTATATATGTAATGGACTATTCTAAGTTTTGAGTAGTCTTAGAAGATAATGGCGTATATACATATATAACATTTTCCTTTTCCATTCATCTGTCAATGGAAATTTAAGATATTTCCGTATCTTGCCTATTATAAATAATGCTGCAATGAATGTGGGAACACAAATCTCTTTGAGATACTGATTTCATTTCCTACTTTCAGTTATCTAAGACAAGTACATGTGGAAGATCTAATATATGACGTAGTAGCTACAGTTAACAATACCATATTGTATACTTGCAATTTGCTAAGAGAGTAGATCCTGTGTTCTTACCAAAAAACAAAAGCAAAACCCAAATGGTAACTGTGTGAGTTAGTTGATGGATATGTTAATTAGCTTGATGGTGGTGATCATTTCACAATGTATACATGTATCAAAAAATGAAGTTATATATCTTAAATATATACAATTCTTATTTGTCAGTTATACCTTAATAGAGCTAAAATAAACAAAAACAAAAAAACTGGAGCCTGTATTTTATGTCTTTTTTCATTTTTCTAGTAATCAATCTTATTACTTTATTACACTTTATTACTTTTATTTTATACTTTTATTACACTTTACAAAGTATCAGTCTGCAATTGGTTCCAAAATTTTAAAAAAGTTATTTCATAACAGATGGCTTGAGAATCACTGGTCTAAGTGATATTTAGACCACCTTTAAAAGTGTTGATAAGGTGCTACTTTGGAGGACAAAGCTCAAGCAAAAGTAACCACTTACCCTGCTTCCTCTGTAGCCATACTTCTACTTTGGGGCAATTGTGGGATAGTAAGAGGCCAGTAAAGAAAAGGATATTGATTGCTACAAATGCTTGTCCTTCTCCTGCCATTCATTTCCCCCACAAAATGATTGATGCCTATGGCACACTGAATGCTGACAGCTAGAATACTCTGTGACACCTACATAGCCCTGCTCTAGAAGTTCTGTATTTACCAAGAGTCAGTTGTATTTGTTTCCAATTTCACTCTTGTCGTCCAGGCTGGAGTGCAGTGGCACGATCTCAGCTCACTGCAACCTCTGCCTCCCAGTTCAAGCGATTCTCCTGCCTCAGCCTCCTGAGTAGCTGGGATTACAGGCATGTGCCACCATGCCCGGCTAATTTTTTTGTATTTTCAGTAGAGACAGTGTTTCCCCATGTTGGCCAGACTGGTCTCAAACTCCTGACCTCAGGTGATCCGCCCGCCTTAGCCTCCCAAAGTGCTGGGATTACAGGTATGAGCCACTGTGCCAGGCCCAAAATATTTTTAATATAACAGAACATTTAATTACATCAGTTTCCCATCAACCCACCACGGTCATTTAATGACGATGATTTTGTCTATTTCCAGTAATTGTCAGGAGGCTCTTCCATTAACAGTGCCCATAGTTACCTTTGCATAATTTTTCTCACCAGGCTTAGTTCATCTTCAGACTGAAAAAATCACCTCTTTTATTTGGCCACCCTGAAGTCATCAAATATTGGTCTTCTATATGTGGCATTTTTAGGCATTTTCTCAGGAACATCAAAAATCTTTGTGTACAATATTCTTAACCTCTCTTGTGAACTCTCACATACAGCCAATAATTCTTTTACTAATTTTTAAAAGTAAATTCTCAAGTATGGTTTCTAATCACATTTTTAAAGACAGCTTCTACAGTATAGACAAAAAGCACAAAAGGTGTTCAGAGAAGGGAGAGACCATTTTGCACTGGAATGGCAGATAATACGTTATAAAGGACTTTGGGACACCCTGAAAGATAGGTAATATTGAAAGGTATGAGAGTTCAGGGAGAGCTGTAGGAGAAAAGGCATCAAGAGAGGAAGGCATGAGCCTATTAACGGAGGAAACAGTGGTGCCTGGTCCACCTTAGAGGAAGGTTAATACTGGCAATCACGGACTGTTAGATTAGCTACGAGAAAGTTTATGACCTTAAAGCAGCCATTCTGGTTGAATGCTCTCAGCTGGGCTCTAGGAACAGTTGCTTTCAGACATTTTTTTTTGGCAGCATTACACAGTAAGAAATGGATTTTAAATAGCAACACAATACACACATGATGTATTATGTCTACATTTCAAGAAACGCGCTTACTCTAATTACAATCTAAGTGCTCTGATACTTTCTATTGAATTCAATTTCATTTAAAAATGCTGTTACCCACTGAACTTATTGCAGTACCCGATACCCCAGTAACCGGTGTGACCTTCAGTTGGAAAAATATTGTCCACGGAAGTGGTTCTTAAAAAGAGGTGATTTTGCCCCCCAGTGGACATTTGGCACTGTCTAGAAGCATTTTTCATTCTCACAAATGGTGGGGGCTGGGGTGGGGGAGGGCGGAGAGCTACTGGCATCTAGTGGGCAGAGGCCATGGATGCTATTAAACCTCAATGCACAAGTCAGCCCATGTCTCCTCCACCCCCCAACATCAAAAAATCATCCAGACCTAGTTATCAATAGTCCCAGGTTAAGAAAGTCTGTCCTATTCAACATAGTATTGGAAGTTCTGGCCAGGGAAATCAGGCAAGAGAAAGAAATAAAGGTACTCAAATAGGAAGAGAAGACGTCAGACTATCTTTGTTTGCAGATGACATGATCCTATATCCACAAAACCCCATCATCTCGGCCCAAAAGCTTTTTAAGCTGATAAGCAACTTCAGCAGTCTCAGGATACAAAATCATTGTGCAGAAATTGCTAGCATTCCTATACACCAACAACAGGCAAGCTAGAGCCAAATCAGAATGATCTCCCTTTCACAATTGCCACAAAAAGAATAAAGTGCCTAGGAATACAGCTAACAAGGGAAGTGAAGGAGGACCTCTTCAAGGAGAACTATAAACCGCTGTTCAATCAAATCAGAGATGACACAAACAAATAGAAAAAACATTCCATGCTCATGGATGCAAAGAATCAATATCATGAAAATGGCCATACTGCCCAAAGCAACTTATAGATTCAATGCTATTCCCTTTAAACTACCATTGACATTCTTCACATAACCAGGAAAAAAAAAAAACTATTTTAAAATTCGTATTGAACAAGAAAAACAAGCCTGAATAGCCAAGACAGTCCTAAGCAAAAGAACAAAGCTGGAGGCATTATGCTACCTAACTTCAAACTATATACTATATGGCCACAGTAACCAAAATAGCAATGGTCCTGGTACAAGAACAGACACATAGACCAATGGAACAGAATACAGAACCCAGAAATAAGACTGCACACCTACAACCATCTGACCTTCGACAAACATGATAAAACAAGCAATGGGGAAAGGATTCCTTGTGTAATAAATGGTGCTGGGAGAACCGGCTAGCTATATGCAGAAAACTGAAACTGGACCCCTTCCTTACACTGTATACAAAAATTAACTCAAGATGGATTAAAGACTTAAATGTGTAAAAAAAAAAAGTAAAGTAGAAGTTCCTCTTCAAAGACTTTCCTCCCCGTCTAGGAATAAATAGTAACTTCTCTTAGAAGCAAAATTTATTCAAAGACCAGTGCTAACATTTTTTTTTTTTTTGAGACGGAGTCTTGCTCTGTCACCCAGGTTGGAGTGCAGTGGCATGATCTCTGCTCACTGCAAGCTCCACCTCCTGGGTTCACACCATTCTCCTGCCTCAGCCTCCCAAGTAGCTGGGACTACAGGCGCCCCCCACCACACTCAGCTAATTTTTTTTGTATTTTTAGTAGAGACAGGGTTTCACTGTGTCAGCCAGGATGGTCTCAATCTCCTGACCTCATGATCCACCCGCCTCAGCCTCCCAAAGTGCTGGGATTACAGGCCTGAGCCACCGTGCCCAGCGACCTGTGCTAACATTCTTAAATATCTGCTAGCCGTAATAAAGAAATCAACATACTTTATGTTCTTTGCCCCCACAATTTAGCCTAAATATTTGCCCTGGAATGCTTATACTGGTCCAAGCAAGCATTAGGTCATAGCTTGTTCCTCTTCCTTATTTGAAGGTGTTTTTACCTTTCTCAGCATTCCACAAGTTACTTTCTCCTTCCTTTGTTCTCCTCTGCCTATGCCTCTTTTAAAACATTCTAAGTTGCTAGCCAATCGGGACAAATACAGAATGTGAGGTCCTGTTCAAGCCAATGGAAACTGGACACAGCAGTAGGATGGACGTGTCAGGTTATAAATGACCTTGTCTCCTTTGTTTGGTGTACTCTTGTGGCAAAACAGTTGGTGAGTGTACCCTTTCTGCAGAAAGTATAAAAATGGCCTTGCTGAGGAAATTAAATTTATGTTCAAGTGCTATTTCTTTACGGCACTGGGGAACAAGCATTTCAAACAAATGCAAAACCCCAAACTATAAAAAACCCAGAAGAAAATCTAGGCAATGCCATTCAGGACATAGACATGGGCAAATATTTCATAATGAAGATGCCAAAAGCAATTGCAAGAAAAGCAAACATTAACAAATGGGATCTAATTAAACTAAAGAGCACAGCAAAAGAAACTATCATCAGAGTGAACAGACAACATAGAGAATGGGAGAAAATTTTTGCAATCTATCCATCTGACAAAGGGCTAATATCCAGGATCTACAAGGAACTTAAATTTACAAGAAAAAAACCAAACAACTCCATTAAAAAGTGGGCAAAGGACATGAACAGACACTTCTCAAAAGAAGATATACATGTAGCCAACAAACATGTGAAAAAAATCTCAACATCATTGATCATTAGAGAAATGCACATCAAAACCATAATGAGATACCATCTCACACCAGTCAGAATGGCGATTATTAAAAAGTAAAGAAACAAAAGATGCTGGCAAGGTTGTGGAGAAAAAGGAATGCTTTTACACTGTTGGTGGGAGTGTAAATTAGTTCAACCATTGTCAAAGACAGTGTGGCAATTCCTCAAAGACGTAGAGGCAGAAATACCATTTGATCCAGCAATCCCTTTACTGGGTATATACTCAAAGGAATATGAATTATTCTATTATAAAGATACATGGACACGTGTGTTCATTGCAGGTCTATTTCTAATAGCAAAGACATGGAATCAACCTAAATGCCCATCAATGATAGACTGGATAAAGAAAATGTGGTACGTATACACCATGGAATACTATGTAGCCATAAAAAAGAATAAGATCATGTCCTTTCTAGGGACATGGATAGAGCTGGAAGCCATTATCCTCAGCAAACTAATGAAGAAACAGAAAACCAAATACCACATGTTCTCACTTATAAGTGAGAGCTGAATGTTGAGAACACATGGACACATGGTGGGGAACAACACACACTGAGGCCTGTTGGAGGGTTGGGCTGGGAAGAAGGAGAGCATCAAGAAGAATAGCTAATGGATACTGGGTTTAATACCTAGGTGATGGGATGATCTGTACAGCAAACCACCACGGCACATATTTACCTATGTAACAAACCTGCCCATCCTGCACAGGTACCCCTGAACTTAAAGTAAAAGTTCGAAATTAAAAAAATAGAAATTCTGTTAAAGAGAACCCATTAATAGAATGGAGGGGTTAGCTCCAGAAATTGTATTTCTATTTTTCCTTAGCAACCAAGATTCAAGTACCTTTGTATTGCCATTCCGCAACTTCCAATGAGTAGAGCTGGATAAGAATTTACCACCTTTTTTTAAATTGCTAGGTGCCCTTAGTTCTCCTCCATAACACAAATGTACAAAGACAAGAAGTCAAAAATCCTGGAGCTGTTAATTCAAATACCACTTCCTATATTATTCTTAGAAATATATCCTAAGATGGTTAAGCTATCACTGTACAAATTCTAAACTTCATGAACTGGCTATACAATGGTTAGCTATGTGTAGTTTACATTTTTTAAAAATTCCCCATTGGTGTTCTATTTGGATGGCTTTGCACATGCCAGTATGCCCTTCCTGAGGCCATGAGTAACACTAAACATGTTAACTGCTATAAATTTTGTGACATTGTAGAACCATGAAGTTAACACTGGAGGGTGGAACAGGGAAATGGATGTAATAAAGAAAATGCCATGGTTTCTTCTATTGAGGAATTTACAATATGGAAAGACAAAAATTTGGAAAGTCAAAATACATTCAAAGGAAATAATTCATTCACAGAGCAGCATATGAAGAAGTGCTCATTAAGTACTTCTCTCTTTCTCTCTCCCTCCCCTTGCACTTGAGAAAGCAAGCTAACATATTATGAATAGCCTTTAGAGAGGCACATGTAGGAAGAAACCAATGTTTTTAGTGACCTACAGCCATCGAAGAGACCTAAGGCCTACCAATAGCCACATGAGTGAACTTTGACCTGGAACTTCTAATGCCTGTCAACAGCCACATGAGTGAGCTTAGAACTGGATCTTCTTCCAGTGAAACATTATGACAACTGTAGCCCCAAGCAATACCTTGAGTGCAGCCTTATGAGAGACCCAGAGCCAGAGGATCTGGTTAAGTTGGGCCTAGAAACTGAAATAAATGTTTGTGGTTTTAAGTCAATTATTGTGAGGTAATTTGTTACATAGAATAGATAACTAATACAGACTATTAAATTCTCCAACTATGCTTGTGGAATTATCTATTTTGCCATTAATTTTTGTCAACTACTGCCTCATGTATTTTGAAGCTCTCTCGTGGGACACACATTTATGATTGTTACATCTTCCTGACGAATTTTTATCATTATGAAATGTTCTTCTTTATCTCTTGTAATATATTTCATCTTGAAATCTCTTTCATCTGATCAATATGACCATTCTCATCTTCTTATGCTTATTATTTGTAAAGTATATTTTTATATCCATTTACTTTCAACCTATACCTTTTTTTAAAGTGCATCTCTTTTAGACGGTATACAGTTGAGTCTTGTTTTCTTTTTACCCGTTTTGACAATTTATTTGGAATATTTAGGTAAGTAATTTTTAAGGTAAAATTATTGACATATGTTTGAGTCCATCAATTTTTTGTGTGTTTTTAGTTTGCATCCTCTGCTTTTTGTTCCTCTTTTCTTCCTTTCTTGCCTTTTATTGACTTATTTGATTTTATTAGAATTACATTATTATTTCCTGATAAATGTTTACTTAAAATTCTTTGCATTTTATTTATTTTTATTTTCTTTTGTTTGTTTGTTTGTTTATCTATTTATTTATAGAGATGAGGTCTCACTCTGTTACCCAGGTCAGGCTGGAATGCAGTGGTGAAATAATAGCTCACTGCAGCCTCTACCTCCTGGGTTCACATGATCCTCCCACCTCAGCTCCCAAGTAGCTGGGACTACAGGTGCATGCTACCACACACTGCTAATTTTTTTTTTTTTTTGTAGAGATGGGGTTCTCACTTTGTTGCCCATGCTGGTTTTGCAGTCCCTTAAGTTCTCACCTTGGCCTCCCAGAAGTGTTGGGATTACTGGTGTGAGCCACTGTGACCTGCCTGCATTTTATTTCTTAATTATTTCCCTAGAGCTTATGTTATTAATCCCTAATTCTATAGTCTGTTTATAATTAATAATGTATTCTCTGCTATCGTTGTCATGTGTATTATATCTATATACATTACAATACAAGACGTTATTTTGCACTGAACAGTTATGTGGTTTATAAAGCAATTAAGAAGAAAAGAGCAAATTTTTTAAAAAAAATAGTCCTTGTATTTAGCCAGATAGTTACTGTTCTGATGCAGTTTATTCTTTTCTAATGATCTAAATTTCCATCTGGAATTATTTCCCTTTAACCTGAAGAACTACCTTTAGCATTTCTTGTAATGCAGACCTGGCATTATCTTTGTTTCCTTTTACCTGAAAATGTCTTTATTTTCCTTTCATTTTTAAAGAGTTGTTTTGCTGAATATAGAACTATAGGTTTATAGTTTTATTTTAACATTTAAATATTTCTGCTTCATTATCTTGTGGCCTCCCTTGTTTCTGATGAAATTGGGTGTTAAGTAGATCTGTCCCCCATTGTCTCTGTCCCCCACCCCCACTGTCTCCCATCCCCAGCAGCCCCTGCCCCTGTTTCTTCCCATTACATCTTGCTCTTCCTGCTTTTAAGATTTGCTCTTCATCTTTGAATTTCTTTTTTTCTTTCCAACTCATATTTTAGGTGCAGGGGGTACATATGCAGGATTATCATGTGGGTAAATTGGGTGTTGTAAAGGCTTGGTGTACAGATTACTTTGCCACCCAGGTAATAAGCATAGTACTTGATAGGTAGATTTTCGATTCTCACCCTTTTCCCACCTTCACCATCAAGTAGGCCCCAGTGTCTGTTGTTCCCCGTCTTTGTGTCCATGTGTTCTCATTGTTTAGCTCCCACTTATACGTGAGAACACACGGTATTTGTTTTTTGTTCCTGTGTTAGTTCTCTTAAGATGATGGACTCCACCTCATTCATATTGCTGCAAAGAACATGATCTCATTCTTTTTTTAATGGCTACATAGTATTCCTAGAAACATCTTTGACTTTCAATAGTTTGACTGTGATACTCCTTGGCATGAACTTCTTTTTTGTTTACTCTGCATGGTATTCATTGAGTATCTCAAATCTTCCAATTTCTGTTTTTCATCAAATTTGGAAAATTTTGAGCTACTATCTCTGAAAATTTTTTCTGCCCCATTCTTTCTCATCATCTTTAGATATTCCATCTACACATATGTCAAATCATTTGATAACACCTAAGAGTTATCTGAGTCTCAGTCTATTGTTTTTCTCTCTGCATGTCACATAAGGCTTCTTTTTTGAAAGGGAGTTTCGCTCTTGTTGCCCAGACTGGAGTGCAATGGTGCAATCTTGGCTCGCTGCAACCTCTGCCTCCCAGGTTCAAGCGATTCTTCTGCCTCAGCCTCCCGAGTAGCTGGAATTTTAGGCACACGCTACCACGCTAATTTTGTATTTTCAGTAGAGACGGGGTTTCTCCTTGTTGGTCAGGTTGGTCTCAAACTCCTGACCTCAGGTGATCTGCTCGCCTCGGCCTCCCAAAGTGCTGGGAATACAGGCATGAGCCACCATGCCTGGGCTCACGTAAGGTTATTTTAATTGATCTGTCTTCAAGTATATTTACTTGTTCCTCTGTCGTTTCATTTGGCTTAGTCTCTTGTGAACTTTTAATTTCAGAAAGTATATCTTTTAATTTTAGAATTTCCATTTAGTTTGATTTTATTGTTTCTCCTTCTCTATTGAGATTTCTTATATTTTTGCTGAGACTTTTACTTATTAAAACCATATTTTGTTTATTTCATTGAGGGTGGTCATTATAGCCACTTTAAAATATTTGTTTAATAATTCCAACAACTGCTTTATCTTGGGGTCAGGCTCAACTGATTATTTTTTCTCTTTAGGCTATGTTCTATTTTCTTAGTTCTTTTTTTTTTATTATACTTTAAGTTTTAGGGTACATGTGCACAATGTGCAGGTTAGTTACATATGTATACATGTGCCATGCTGGTGTGCTGCACCCATTAACTCGTCATTTAGCATTAGGTATATCTCCTAATGCTATCCCTCCCCCCTCCCCCCACCCCACAACAGTCCCCGTAGTATGATGTCCCCTTCCTGTGTCCATGCGTTCTCCTTGTTCAATTCCCACCTATGAGTGAGAACATGTGGTGTTTGGTTTTTTGTCCTTGTGATAGTTTACTGAGAATGATGATTTCCAACTTCATCCATGTCCCTACAAAGGAAACGAACTCATCATTTTTTATGGCTGCATAGTATTCCATGGTGTATATGTGCCACATTTTCTTAATCCAGTCTATCATTGTTGGACATTTGGATTGGTTCCAAGTCTTTGCTATTGTGAATAGTGCTGCAATAAACATACGTGTACGTGTGTCTTTATAGCAGCATGATTTATAGTCCTTTGGGTATATACCCAGTAATGGGATGGCTGGGTCAAATGGTATTTCTAGTTCTAGATCCCTGAGGAATTGCCACACTGACTTCCACAATGTTTGAACTAGTTTACAGTCCCACCAACAGTGTAAAAGTGTTCCTATTTCTCCACATCCTCTCCAGCTTCTGTTGTTTCCTGACTTTTTAATGATTGCCATTCTAACTGGTGTGAGATGGTATCTCATTGTGGTTTTGATTTGCATTTCTCTGATGGCCAGTGATGGTGAGCATTTTTTCATGTGTTTTTTGGCTGCATAAATGTCTTCTTTTGAGAAGTGTCTGTTCATGTCCTTTGCCCACTTTTTGATGGGGTTGTTTGTTTTTTTCTTGTAAATTTGTTTGAGTTCATTGTAGATTCTGGATATTAGCCCTTTGTCAGATGAGTAGGTTGCGAAAATTTTCTCCCATTTTGTAGGTTGCCTGTTCACTCTGATGGTAGTTTCTTTTGCTGTGCAGAAGCTCTTTAGTTTAATTAGATCCCATTTGTCAATTTTGGCTTTTGTTGCCATTGCTTTTGGTGTTTAAGACATGAAGTCCTTGCCCATGCCTAGGTCCTGAATGGTAATGCCTAGGTTTTCTTCTAGGGTTTTTATGGTTTTAGGTCTAACATTTAAGTCTTTAATCCATCTTGAATTAATTTTTGTATAAGGTGTAAGGAAGGGATCCAGTTTCAGCTTTCTACATATGGCTAGCCCGTTTTCCCAGCACCATTTATTAAATAGGGAATCCTTTCCCCATTGCTTGTTTTTCTCAGGTTTGTCAAAGATCAGATAGTTGTAGATATGCGGTGTCATTTCTGAGGGCTCTGTTCTGTTCCATTGATCTATATCTCTCTTTTGGTACCAGTACCATGCTGTTTTGGTTACTGTAGCCTTGTAGTATAGTTTGAAGTCAGGTAGTGTGATGCCTCCAGCTTTGTTCTTTTGGCTTAGGATTGACTTGGTGATGCGGGCTCTTTGTTGGTTCCCTATGAACTTTAAAGTAGTTTTTTCCAATTCTTGAAGAAAGTCATTGGTAGCTTGATGGGGATGGCATTGAATCTGTAAATTACCTTGGGCAGTATGGCCAACAAAGCCAGGCAGAGACACAACCAAAAAAGAGAATTTTAGACCAATATCCTTGATGAACACTGATGCAAAAATCCTCAATAAAATACTGGCAAACCGTATCCAGCAGCACATCAAAAAGCTTATCCACCATGATCAAGTGGGCTTCATCCCTGGGATGCAAGGCTGGTTCAATATACGCAAATCAATAAATGTAATCCAGCATGTAAACAGAACCAAAGACAAAAACCACATGATTATCTCAATAGATGCAGAAAAGGCCTTTGACAAAATTCAACAACACTTCATGCTAAACACTCTCAATAAATTAGGTATTGATGGGACGTATCTCAACATAATAAGAGCTATCTATGACAAACCCACAGACAATATCATACTGAATGGGCAAAAACTGGAAGCATTCCCTTTGAAAACTGGCACAAGACAGGGATGCCCTCTCTCACCACTCCTATTCAATATAGTGTTGGAAGTTCTGGCCAGGGCAATTAGGCAGGAGAAGGAAATAAAGGGTATTCAATTAGGAAAAGAGGAAGTCAAATTGTCCCTGTTTGCAGACGACATGATTGTATATCTAGAAAACCCCATTGTCTCAGCCCAAAATCTCCTTAAGCTGATAAGCAACTTCAGCAAAGTCTCAGGATACAAAATCAATGTGCAAAAATCACAAGCATTCTTATACACCAATAACAGAGAAACAGAGAGCCAAATCATGAGTGAACTACCATTCACAATTGCTTCAAAGGGAATAAAATACTTAGGAATCCAACTTACAAGGGACGTGAAGGACCTCTTCAAGGAGAAGTGCAAACCACTCCTCAATGAAATAAAAGAGGATACAAACAAATGGAAGAACATTCTATTTTCTTAGTTCTTTATATGCCTAGCAATTTTCTGCTATATCCTGGATACAATGAATGTTAAATTATGAAGATTTGGGATTCTCTTATTTTTCTCTGATGAACGTTGTTTCTTTTGTTTTAGCAGGTGATTTTTTTCGGTGGGAGGTGGGGCTGGGCTTGAACTTCAAAAGTTACTTTTTGGGCAGCATCTCCATTATCTGTTCAGATTGACTTTAAATATGTCTGTGTGCAGGAATTACCCATGAGTTGTCAGTTTGCAACCTCTATATTAGAATGTTATGGTCTTTAATTGAGATGCCTTTAGTCTGTTCTATAAATGCCTGATTCAGAGATCACTAAAAAATGTGGGTAGACAGAATTTGGATATGTATTCTCTGGTTCTTTCTCAGGTAGGATTCTCCCCATGGCTTCAGCATTCAGTTTATTGGATTCAATTTTTTGGTTTCACAAATCAGAAGACAAATCCCAGCCAATTCATATACCAAACCTGAGCCACACAGAATTTACCCATGTAACAAACCTGCACATGGACTGCCTGAACTTAAAATAAAAGTAGGGAAAAAAAGTAGGGAACAAACTACCAAAATAAAATAAAACATTCAGAACACACGCAAGAAGGAAAGTGATCACATCTGTCATGCATCAACTTATGCTTTCCCTTTGAAACTTTGCATACATTGATTACAGAGCATACCTATCTGGTTGGCTCAGGAGAGGAAGGTTGGGCTGAATTAGTCTTTTCCAGACAGAGGCATGAAAGTCTCTTTCTCTCTTGTGAAGCAGACATCAACCCAACTGCATATGAGAAGAGGGCATAGAGGGAGCCAAGTTGGGGAGATCTGACTGTCTTCTCCTGTTCTGGCCTATGATCTTTACCTCACACGTTTACCCACTGGTAATCTCTATTATGGAATAGGAACCATAGCATGGCACAGATAGCAATCCTTGTGCACCAGGAACTAATTCAAGTGGATCAGAAAAGCCCAGGGATATGGGGATTGTGCTAAAAGGAGCAGCGGTGGCATTCCTGAACACTGAGAAGAGTGTTTCCAACATCTGAAGAGATGCTACATTTTCCAGCCTACTAGGCTGAAAGATAAAAACAACTTTTGTTGACTCCTCTGAAAACTTGAGAATTTAACTGAAATATGTAAATGAAATTTTGAATACATATGAAATGTGAAGCCTTCTGATATTTGGTCCATAAATTATGTTTCACCAGAGTTTAGATCATAAAATTTTTCCATTGCAGACAAACTACTGGTCTTTCTGTTCCTATACATTATAAACCCAAGATGTGTCACATTATGTAATGAAAACCAAATAGAAATTTGTTCTTTAAGGAATTTCATAATAAAAAACAAAACAAAACAAACAAACAAATGAGCCAAGCATGGTGTGCACACCTGTATTCCTGGCTACTTGAGAGGCTGAGGTGGGATAATTGCTTGAGCCCAAGAGCTATGATCATGCCACTGGACTCCAGCCTTGGTGACAGAGCAAGACCCCATCTCTGAAAGAAAAAAAAAGTATAATGAACACATGAGTCCCTCTATTCAGCATAAAAAAATTACCATAACTTCCCAATTATGTTCCGTTTTTCTTTTTTTTTTTTACTGGAATATTTCTAGAGAAATCCAAGCTATCGTATCACTTTATTCTAAATACTTTAGACTCCTATATGTGTCTATAACCAATAAACATTTTTTCTTGTTTATCTTACTATTTATCCATTATTACAAATAAATAAATTAATAATTATTCCCTGTCATCATTTAATATCTGTTCTATATTCTAAGTTTCCTACACTGTATCAAAAATAGCTTTTAATTGTTGTGTTTGTTTCAGGATCCAAACAAAGTCCACTTCTGACTTTCAGAGATTCTACCACAAAAATATCTTATTTCTACAATTGCCACCTTCCCTCACCTAGTTTTCATATCATTTCATTAAGGTATTGGAGAAATTAGATCAATTGACTTGTAGAATGTCCTACACTGTTGACTTGGTATCATCTAACTTGTTTCTGTATCCGCCATATTTCCTATTAAACTGAAAGTCAGATCCAGAGGCTTGCTTAAATTCAGCTTGAATTCCTTGGGCATGATGCTTCAGAGGGAGTGCTGTGTATTTCCTCTGCGTTGTGCTGTGATATCTCGTCGTCCCCTGTTAATGATGGTCATTAAGATTGATGAGTGAGTTCCTGTGTTATCAGTCCAATTCATCCATTGCGTAATCCCCATAGCCTTTCTCCTAATGGTTTTAGCATCCACTGATGATTGTTACCAAGATCCATTATCTCACTAGATGTTGCAAAATGAAACATAATAAAACAAAACAAAATGATTTCTTAATTCTGTCATTCTTCTTCTTTTAAAAGCTTGTATTTGTCTACAAAGAAGGAATTTCTCCAGTCAACTATTTGTGTTCCCTGAAATAAGGTTTATTCAGAAAAAAAAAGTGTTTTTTTGAATATCAATTTTCAGAATAAAAGATTGGTAGTCGAGTCAGAAAAATCTAAGTGTGGAGTGCACTTAGCTGCTGACTAACAATTGCAGAGATGGGAATGTACTTATCTACCTTCCACCAAGTAAACGTGTACTTCCCATCCAACAGACACTTCTGACCACTCTCCACTACATTCAAGTATTCACTTTTTGTTTCATGCCTGAGTTTTATATTTGTTTTCTTCAGTGGGATGGAGGAGAGAGTTGTCAGGTAGGGTAATAATATACCATACCTAGAACTGAAATTCTCTGTAGTTTAAATTTTTTAAATGAATACTTCCAAACATAAACAAAAATAGAAAATTGTACAATGGACCCACATATACCAATCACCAGACTCAGTCATTATCAAGATTTGCCTCACTTGCCACATCTATCTCTTTTTGTTCTTTCTCATTTTTCATAAGTATTTAAGACAAGTCTCAGACATCACATAATTTCACCTCTACATACAATCATGGATACTCTGTTACATAACCCTTATTTATGGTTAGTGAGAATGTGAATGAGTACAGTCATTATGGAAAACAGTATGGAAGGCTCTCTAAAACTAAAAATAGAATTACCATACAATACAGTACTTCACCCACATTTGTTGCAGCAGTATTCCCATGGCCAAGATATGGAATTAATTTAAGTGTCCATCAATATATGAATGGATAAAGAAAATTTTGTATACATACTCTGTAATCTATTCAGCCATTAGAAAACAATGAAATCCTGTCATTTGCAGCAATATTGATGGAACTAGAGGTCATTATGTTAAGTAAAATAAGCCAGGAATAAAAAGACAAATATCACACATTTGCACTCATATGTGGGAGCTAGAAAAGTTGATCTCATGGAGTTAGAATGTAGAGTGATAGTTGTCACAGGCTGGGAAGGGTAGGGTAGATGAAAAAAGGTTGGTTAATGGGTACAAACATACAGTTAGATAAAAGGAATACATTCCAACTTTTAACAGCACAGCAGGATTACTATCATTGATAATAATTTATTGTATATTTCAAAACAGCTAGAAGAGAAGATTTAAGTGTTCCCAACACAAAAAAATGATAAATGTTTGAGGTGATGGATAGCATAAATACCCTGATTTGATCATTACATATTGTATGCATGTATCAAAATATCACATATACCTCACAAATATGTATTATTATTTTGTATCAATAAATAATCTAATATCTTGTCTACAAGTAAATATTCCTGGTTATTTAAAAATGTGTGCTCTAATTAGGATTGAAACAAAATTTATAAATTCCACTTAATTGATACCTCTTTGGTCTTTGTGAATCTAGAACAGTATCTTCTCTCACTTTTATTTTCCCTGCCATTGACTAGTTAGAGAAACCACAACAGTTGTTCTTATGGAATATCCCACTTTCTGGATTTGTCTATGTCCTTCTTAGTTTCTCTGTCTTCCTTATTTTTATAAATGAAAGTTAACTCTGGGGACTTAATTACACTCAGCTTCAACTTCCTGGGAACAGTACTTCACAGATGGTGCTGTGTGCCTGACGTCACAATGTCTGGATAACCTAACAATTTTTACATTTCACTCTAAATAAGAAGTCACAAACTGACAACACATAGCCAAATCTTTCACATAAACACATTTGAATTTAAGTGTCAGTTGTTAATTCTTGTTTTTCTTGCACAATTGTTTTTCCTATAGTAATTGAAAGGAAAATAAAAAATAATAACTTTCTGTAGCTGTATCTCAGTCAAAAGCAGGAAAATGGAAGATCACTTTCATAGTAGTCCAGTTTCATGCTGCTGATAAAGACATACCCGAGACTGGGAAGAAAAAGAGGTTTAATTGGACTTACAGTTCCACATGGCTGGGGAAGCCTCAGAATCATGGTGAGAGGCAAAAGGCACTTCTTACATGGTAGCAGCAAGAGAAAATGAGAGGAATGCAAATGCAGAAACCCCTGAAAAAACCATCAGATTTCAAGAGACTTATTCACTACCATGAGAATAGTATGAGAGAAACTGCCCCCATGATTCAAATTATCTCCTGCCAGGCCCCTCCCATAACACATGACAATTATGGGAGTACAATTCAAGATGAGATTTGAGTGGGGACACAGAGCCAAACCATATCATTCCAACCCTGGCCCCTCCAAATCTCATGTCCTTACGTTACAAAAGCAATCATGCTTTCCCAACAGTGCCCTAAAGTCTTATTTCAGCATTAACCCAAAAGTCCACAGTCCAAAGTCTCATCTGAAACAAGGCAAGTCACTTCCACCTATGAGCCTGTAAAATCAAAAGCAAGCTAGCTACCTCCTAGATACAATGGGGGTACTGGCATTAGGTAAATAAAGCCATTCCAAAGGGGAGAAATTGGCCAAAACAATGGGTTTACAGGGCTCACGGAAGTCCAAAATCCAGTGGGGCAGTCAAATTTTAAAGCTCCAAAATGATCTCCTTTGACACCAGGTCTCATGTCCAGGTCACGCTGATGTAAGAAGTGGATTCCCATGGTCTTGGGAAGCTCTGCCCCTGTGGCTTTGCAGAGTATATCCCCCCTCCTGGCTGCTTTCATGGGCTGGTGTTGATTGTCTGAGGCTTTTTCAGGTGCACAGTGCAAGCTGTCGATGGATCTACCATTCTGGGTCTGGAGGATGGTGGCCCTCTTCTCACAGCTTCGCTAAGTGGTGCTCCAATAGGGGCACTGTGTCAGGGCTCTGATCCCACATTTCCCTTCTGCACTGCCCTAGCAGAGGTTCTCCATGAGGGCTCCGCCCCTGCAGCAAACTTTTGCCTGGGCATCCAGGCATTTCCATACATCTTCTGAATTCCAGGCGGAGGTTCCCAAACCTCAATTCTTGACTTCTGTGCACCCATAGACTCAACACCACATGGACACTGCCACGGTTTGGGGCTTCCACCCTCTGAAGCAACAGACCTAGCTGTACCTTGGCCCCTTTTCGTCATGGCTGGAGTGACCGGGACACAGGACACCAAGTTGCTAGACTGCACACAGCATGGGGACCCTGGGCCCGGCCCATGAAACCATTTTCTCCTAGGTCTCCAGGCCTGTGATGGGAGGGGCTGCCATGAAGATCTCTGACATGCCCTAGAGACATTTTCCCCATTGACTTGGGGATTAACATTTGGCTCCTCATGACATGCAAATTTCTGCAGCCAGCTTGAATTTCTTTTCAGAAAATGGGTTTTTATTTTCTATCACATTGTCAGGCTGCAAATTTTCTGAACTTTTATGCTCTGCTTCCCTTTTAAAACTGAATGCCTTTAACAGCACCTAAGTCACCTCTTGAATGCATTGCTGCTTAGAAATTTCTTCTGCCAGACACCCTAAATCATCTCTCTCAAGTTCAAAGTTCCACAAATCTCTAGGGCAGAGGCAAAAAGCCACCAGTCTCCTTGCTAAAACATAACAAGAGTCACCTTTGTTCCAGTTCCCAACAAGTTCCTCATCTCCATCTGAGACACCTCAACCTGGACCTTTTTGCCCATATTGCTACAGGATTTTGGGCAAAGCTATTCAACAAGTCTCTATAGACATTCCAAACTTTCCCACATTTTCCTGTCTTCTTCTGAGCCCTCCAAACTGTTTCAACCTCTGCTTGCTACCCAGTTTCAAAGTCACTTCCACATTCTTGGATGTCTTTTCAGCAGCGCCCCACTCTACTAATACAAATTTACTCTATTAGTCCATTTTCACACTGCTGATAAAGACATATCCAAGACTGGGAAGAAAAAGAGGTTTCATTGGACTTACAGTTCCACATGACTGGAGAGGCCTCAGAATCATGGCAGAAAGTGAAAGGCACTTCTTACATGGTGGTGGCAAGAGAAAACAAGAGGAATTCATAAGCAGAAACCCCTGAAAAACCATCAAACATCATGAGACTTATTCACTACCATGAGAACAGTATGGGGGAAACTGCCCCCGTGATTCAAATGATCTCCCACTAGATCCCTCCCACAACATGTGGAAATTATGGGATTACAATTCAAGATGAGATTTGGGTGGGGACACAGAGCCAAACCATATCAAGTATTGTTTCCCATGTCAAAATATTTCTTCTTACATCAGACAACTTCACTCATTTATATTACCTGCCAGGTACCTGTGAGAACATGAGTTTGTGACTTCTGCTGTATATATATAGATATATTCTCCAACCTATCATAGCAGGTATACCAGAAATCTGATCACTAGTGTTAAACCCACCCTTGGTAGTCAATTCTCATTTACCCAATCAACATGCAATTACTTTTGATGTGTTGAAAGCTTTGTGTCAGTGCACAGCTCAGCTCCAATTTAAAGCTTACATTGTCTGTAGTCTGTAGTTGTTTTTGTCTTTTTTTTTTTTCAGAGTCTCACTCTGTTGCCAGGCTGGAGTGCAGTGGTGCCATCTCTGCTCACTGCATCCTCCGCCTCCCAGGCTCAAGTGATTCTCTTGCCTCAGCCTCCCAAGTAGCTGGGACTACAGGCATATGCCACCACGCCCGGCTAATTTTTGTATTTTTAGTAGAGATGGGGTTTCACCATGTTGGCCAGGATGGTCTCAATCTCTTGATCTTGTGATCCACCCACCTCGGCCTCCCAAAGTGCTGGGATTACAGGTGTGAGCCACCATGCCCAGCGTTTTTGTCTTTTTTTTCTTCCCAAATAACTTTTATGTTAAGAGGTACATGTGCAGGTTTGTTATACAGGTAAATTCAGTGTTACAGGGTCTTAGGAGTACACATTATTTCATCACCAGGTAATAAGCAGGGTACCCTGATATGATTTGGCTGTGACCCCAGCCAAAATCTCATCTTGAATTATAATTCCCATAATCCTCACACGGACCGGACCAAGTAGAGGTAATTGGATTATGAGGGCAGTTTCCTCCATGCTGTTCTCATGATAGTGAGTGAGTCTTAGGAGATCTGATGGTTTTATAAGCATTTAGTATTTCCCCTGCTTGCACTCACTCTGTCCTGCTGCCTTGTAAAGAACGTTCCTGCTTCTGCTTTGCCTTCTGCTATGGTTGTTAGTTTCCTGAAGCCTTCCCAGCAATGCAGAATTGTAAGCCAATTAAAGCTCTTTTCTTTATAAGTTACCCAGTCTCTGGTATTTCTTTCTTTCTTTCTTTCTTTCTTTTTTTTTAATAACCTTGCCCAACTGGCTTGTTTTATTGGAGAAGGGGACGCGGAATAAACAACGTGAGACAGCTGGGACCTGAGGCTGGGAAGAACCCCCTCCCCTCCCTATACATGCCCACTGCCCCAAATAAAAAATAACCAACTATGGGAGAGCAACTGAGACAGCCACTGGGGGCAGGGAAAGGAGACACTGAACTCAAGGGCAGCTGTGAAGAGACCATGTATGTGCTGAGAGGGCCCAGAGGCAGCGGCAGCACGAACAGCGCAGGTACAAATCTCCGTGTT
The DNA here is from genome assembly GCF_000001405.40 of Homo sapiens. Taxonomy (NCBI): domain Eukaryota; kingdom Metazoa; phylum Chordata; class Mammalia; order Primates; family Hominidae; genus Homo; species Homo sapiens. The sequence continues at coordinate 86,084,576 of NC_000023.11, forward strand.
TTCCCTGGGCTTACGTATAAATACAGAGAGGTGAGGCCTTCTCTCCCCCTGCTCTCCCTTCCGCTCCGTGCTGCTTGCCGCGGTCCCCGCTCCTCTTTCCGCATGAGGGCGAAGGGAAGCGGGGATGGACAAGTCATTGTCGAATTGCAATCAGACCCACATCCATCAGCTTCTGGATCTTCTTTGCGATTACAGGATTCTTTAAGTGTTCGCTGAGTGCCTGGGGGGTCCTTCTGCATCTGCTCCAGGATAAGGTGCATGGCTATGTCACTCATGATCTGCTGCACCTCGGGGTCGGCCATGGCTCGTCGCTTCACATCTTCGGGGCTGTGGTGCCGGTTGTACTGCGCCATCATACAGCGCTGGTAGCCGTCTGCCGCCTCCTTACAGCTGGAGTCCGGGTCTAGCGCCTTCCGGTACACATCCATGACTTTGGTGTAGTCCTTCATCGCTTCCAGGGCAACGGCTTTCCGTGTATAACCCTTGATGAAGGTCGGTTCTAGCTGGATACATTCTTCACAGTCCTTGAGTGCCAGCTGGAATCCAGGAGTTTGGTGTAACAGGCAGCTCGATTGCTGTATAATTTGGCATCTTTCGGGTTCCTTTTGATGGCTTCCGTATAATGCTTCATGGCGTGGGGATAGTCCCCTTTCTGAAAACACTCGTTGCCTTTGTTCTTCTCTTCTAAAGCCAGGTCGGGGTTTATGTAGGCCAGCCGTTCTTGCTCCTTCAGGATTTTCTCTGCCTGCTGGCATTTCTTGAGCACATCTGGAGTTCGGTGCTCTGCCAGAGACTTGTTATAGAAATGGATGGCATCCTTGTACTTTTCTTCTTTGAAGTAGGAGTTGCCAATTCGAGCACACACTTTGGCAATCTGTAGATAGTCTTCTCTGTTTTCTCTCCCCACTTCAATGGACTTCTCACAAAGCTCCCAACACTTATTGTAGTCGCCCTTTTCAAAGTATACCGCTGCTTGATTGGTAATGTAAGTCATGTTGCTGGGGTCCAGCTCCTTGGCTTTGTCGTAATGCTTCAAGGCTGTCAGTCTTTCTTCTTGTAGGCATCGTTCCTCAGCTCTTTTTCTTTCAGTGCCTGCTTCTTATTCTCTGGAAGATCTTCTTCCACTGGCTCTGGCTTGGTCTCCTTTTTGGGAAGGGGTGGTGGTGAAGGTGTTGCAACCTGTTCCTCCTCATCCATACTGCCCCGATCGACCTCAAGGAGGACACTGAGAGTGGTCAGGATCCGGGGATCTCGTAGTTTTGTGCCCAGATCAGAAGGCTTGTTTTATAGTTGCTCTATCAGCTCCCGGTAGGTAGGATCACTGAGCAGTGTCCTTGTCCTGGGATCACTCTCCAACTTCTGTTACAGATTGGGCATGTTGAAAGCATTCATACATTTTCTCTCTGCCAACCTGGCCTCCATATTCTGTAAACCCTCTTTCAGTTGAGGGTTATCTGCCTCGTGTTTTAAGCTCTCCTCGTAGGTTCACTTGGCTTCTTCAAATCGGTTTAAGAACTCTAGAGCTGCTGCTTTTCGTGAATATCCCTTGCCCCAGTCAAACTTTTAGGTCGACGGTCTTGCAGCCGTCCTTGTAAGCCTTCTGGTAGTCTCCTTTCTTGGCATAGGTGGCAGAACAGTTGCTGTAGAGCACGTGGTTGTGGGGATCCAGCTTAATGGCTTCAGAGTAGCACTGTAAGGCATTGTCGATGTTTTCCACGCCCAGGGCCTTGTTGCCCTTCTCTTTCAGCTCATTGACCTGCTTCATAGCACAGCGCGGCCCGGAACCCCGCTGAATCGAATCTGTCCGCTCTGCGTTCCCAACCCAGTCTCTGGTATTTCTTCATAGCAGTGTGAGAAGGAACTAATACAGTAAATTGGTTCTGAGGTAGTGGGGTGCTGCTATATGGATACCCGAAATGTGGAAGCAACTTTGCAAGCGGGTAACAAGCAGAGATTGGAACAGTTTGGAGGGCTCAGAAGACAGGAAAGTGCGGGAAAGTTTGGAACTTCCTAGAGACTTGGAGGGCTCCAAAGACAGGAAGATGTGGGAAAGTTTGGAACTTCCCAGAAATTTGTTGAATGGCTTTAACCAAAATGCTGATAGTGATATGGACAATTAAGTCCAAGCTGAATTGGTCTCAGATGGAGATGAGGAACTTATGGGAAACTGGAGTAAAGGTCACTCTTGCTATGCTTTAGCAAAGAGACTGGTGGCATTTTGCCCCTGCTCTAGAGATCTGTGGAACTTTGAACTTGAAAGAGATGATTTAGGGTATTGGTGAAAGAAATGTCTAAGTGGTAAAGCATTCAAGAGGAAGAAGAACATATAAGCTTGAAAAATTTGCAGCCTGACAATGCAACAGAAAAGAAAAACCCCTGCAGATCACGAGGTCAGCAGATAAAGACCATGCTAGCCAAAATGGTGAAACCCCGTCTTTACTAAAAATACAAACATTAGCCGGGCATGGTGGTTTGCTCTTGTAGTCCCAGCTACTTGGGAGGCTGAGGCAGGAGAATTGCTTGAACCTGGGAGGCGGAGGCTGCAGTGAGCCAAGATCATGCCACTGCACTCCAGCCTGGGTGACAGAGCAAGACTCTGTCTCAATAATAATAATAATAATAAAATAATAATAATAATAATAATAATAATGTAGTAATAATAAATAATAATTTAATAATAATAAATTCCTGGAAATAGATAAACCAAGAAGAAATAGAAACTCTGAACAGACCAATAACAAGCAGCGAGATTGAAATTGTAATTAAAATAAACTGCCAAAAAAAAATCCAGGACCAGATGCATTCCCAGCTGCAGTCTATCAGACATTCAATTAAAGATTGGTACCAATAGTACTGAAACCATTTCAAAAGATACAGATTTACGGAGTTCTCTCCAAATCATTCTATGAAGCCAGTTATCACCCTAATACCAAAACCAGGAAAGACATAACAAAGAAAGGAAACTATAGACCAATATCTCTGATAAACATAGATGCAGAAATCCTCAACAAAATACTAGCTAACTGATTCCAACAGCGTATCCAAAATATATTCCACCATAATCAAGTGGGTTTTACACTAGGGATGCAGGAATGGTTTAAAATACAAAAGCCAGTAAATGTGATAAACCACATAGACAGAGTTAAAACAAATATCATATAATCATCTCAACATATGCAGAAAATGCATCTGACAAAATCCAGCATCGCTTTATGCTTAAAACCCTCAGCAAAATTGGCATAGAAGGGACATACCTTAAAGTAATAAAAGCCACCTGTGGTAAAGCCACCTTTGGTAAACCCACAGCCAACATTATACTGAATGGGGAAAAGTTGAAAGCATCCCCTGTGAGAACTGGAACAAGACAAGAATGCCCACTTTCACCACTTATATTTAACATAGTACTGGGATTCCTCAGACAAAAGAAAGAAATAAAGGGCATCCAAAATGGTAAAGAGATAAACTGTCACTGTTTGCTGATGATATGATCATATACCTGAAAAACCCTAAAGACTCATCCAAAAAGCTTCTAGGTGTGATAAATGAATTCAATAAAGTTTCAGGATACAAAATCAATGTACACAAATTACTAGCACTGCTATACACCAATAGCGACCAAGCCGAGAATCAAATCAAGAACTAACTCCCTTTTACAATAGCTGCAAAAAATATATAAAATACTTAGGAATACACCTAGCCAAGGAGGTGAAAGATTTCTGCAAGGAAAACTGCAAAACACTGCTGAAAGAAATCATAGATGACATAAACAAATGGAAACACATCCCATGCTCATGAATGGGCAGAATCAATGCTGTGAAAATAACTATACTGCCAAAAGCAATCTATAAACTTAATGCAATTTCCATCAAAATACCATCATCATTCTTCACAGAACTAGAAAAAAATCCTAAAATACGTATGGAACCAAAAAAAGAGCCTGCATAGCCAAAGCAAGGCTAAGCACTGAGAACAAATCTGGAGGCATCACATTACCTGACTTCAAACTATGCTACAAAGCTCTAGTCACCAAAAAACATGGTATTGGTATAAAAATAGGCACATAGACCAATGGAACAGAACAGAGAATCCAGAAATAAAGCCAAATACTTACAGACAACTGATCTTTGACAAAGCAAACCAAAGCATAAAGTGGGAAAAGGACTACCCTTCCAACAAATGATGCTGGGATAATTGGCAAGCCACATGTAGGAGAATGAAACTGCAGGGTCATCTCTCACCTTATTAAAAACAACAACTCAAGATGTATTAAAGACTCAAATCTGCGACCTCAAACCATCTAAATTCTAGAATATAACATAGAAAAAACTCTTCTAGACATTCGTTTAGGCAGAGAGTTCATGACCAAGAACCCAAAAGCAAATGCAACCAAAACAAAGATAAATAGATAAGACCTTATTAAATTAAAAAGCTTCTTCACAGCAAAAGAAATAATCAACAGAGTAAACAGACAACCCACAGAGTGGGAGAAATTATTCACAAAGTATGCATCTGACAAAGGACTAATAATATCCAGAATCTACAAGGAAGTCAAATGAGCAAGAAAAATAATAATCACATCAAAAAGTGGGCTGAGGACATGAATAGACAATTCTCAAAAGAGGATATACAAATGGCCAACAAAGATATAAAAAATGCTTAACATTACTAATGATCAGGAAAATGCACATCAGAACCACAATGTGATACCACCTTACTCCTGTAAGAATGGCCATAATTGAAAAATAAAAAAAAATAGATGTTGGTATGGATGTGGTGAAAAGGGAACACTTTTACACTGCTGATGGGAATGTAAACTAGTGCAACCACTATGGAAAACAGTATCAACATTCCTTAAAGAACTAAAAGTAGATCTACAGTTTGATCCAGCAATCCCACTACTGGGTATCTACCCAGAGAAAAAGAAGCCATTATATGAAAAAGCCACTTGCACGTGCATGTTTATAGTAGCACAATTTGCAATTGCAAAAATTCGGAACCAGCCCAAATTCCCGTCATTCAATGAGTGGATAAAGAAATTGTGATATATATATATATACAATACTATATATATATATGTATATACACACACCATACTATATATATATATACACACACACACACACACACCATACCATATACATATATATACACCATACCATATATATATACACACACACACACACACACACACAGACACCATGGAATACTACTCAGCCATAAAGAGGAAAGAAATAATAGCATTCACAGCAACCTGGATGGGGTTGGAGACCATTATTCTAAGTGAAGTAACTCAGATTGGAAAACCAAATATTGTATGTTCTCACTTATAGATGGGAGCTAAGCTATGAGGACGCAAAGGCATAAGAATAATGCAATAGATGTTGGGGACTTGGGGGAAAGTGTGGAAGGGGTGTATTAGTCTGTTCTCACACTGCTATAAAGAACTGCCTGAGACTGGGTAATTTATAAAGAAAAGAAGTTTAATTGACTCTCAGTTCCACATGACTGGGGAGGCCTCAGGAAACTTACAATCAGGGTGGAAGGGGAAGCAGGCACATCTTATGTGGCAGCAGGCAAGAGAGAGAGAGAGAGTATGTGAGAGAGAGCAGGGAAAACTGCCTTATAAACCATCAGATCTCCTGAGAACTTACTTGCGATCATGAGAACAGCATTGGGGAAACTGCCCTTATGATTCAATCAACCCCCTCCCTGGACACATGGGGATTACATGTCCCTTGCTCAACATCTGGGGATTACAATTTGAAATGAGATTTGGGTGGGGACACAGACCCAAGACAATCAAGGGGGCCGAGGGATAAAATGCTACACATTGGGTACAGTGTACACTGCTTGGGTGATGGGTACACCAAAGTCTCAGAAATCACCACTAAAGAATTATCTATGTAACCAAACACCGCCTATTCTTCAAAAATGATAGAAATAATATTTTTTAAAAATTAAATAGGCCGGGCATGGTGGCTCATGCCTGTAATCCCAGCACTTTGGGAGGCTGAGGTGGGCAGATCACCTGAAGTCAGGAGTTTGAGACTAGCCTGGCCAACATGGTGAAACCCTGTGTCTACCAAAAGTACAAAAATTAGCTGGGCATGGTGGTGGGCGCCTGTAATCCCAGCTACTTGGGAGGCTGAGGCAGAAGAATCACTTGAACCCAGGAGGCGGAGGTTGCAGTGAGCTGATATTGCACCATTGCACTCCAGCCTGGGTGACAAGAGTGAAACTCTGTCTCAAATAATACTAATACTAATACTACTACTACTACTACTAATAATAATAATAAATCATTCAATAAACTTGTGATTGCATTTTGAAGTTATTGTAGTGAGTTTTTCAGCTCTGTCAGATCAGTTTGGCTCATTCTCAAAATGGCTATTTCATCTTTCAGCTTCTGTATCATTTTATTGGATTCCTTAGAATTCTTGTATTGGGTTTTGACTTTCTCCTAACTCTCGATGATCTTTGTTCCTATGCAGATTGTAAGTTCTATGTCTTTCATGTCAGCCATTTCGGCCTGGTTAAGAACTATTGTTGGGGACCAGTGTGGTCATTTGGAGGTAAGAAGACACTCTGGATTTTTGAGTTGCCAGAGGTCTTGTGCTGGATCATTGTCATCTGTGTGGGGTGATGTTCCTTTAATCTTTGAAGGTGCTCTCCTTTGGATGGTGTTTTTTGGTTTTATCTTCTTTGCTGCCCTTGAGGGTTTGATTGTGGTATAAGGTGGATTCAGTCAACTGGCTTTATTTTTTTTTTGAAGATTTCAGGGGCCCAAGGCCCAGCTCAGCAGTCCTGGCCTTCATGTTGTAACCCTGGGCAGGTTACAACTGGGCCCCTGGCTTTGTTCTCTGGCCCCTAAAGATTAGGAACCTGCTGTGCTGGAAGGGCCTAGGTGTTCCTGGTCCACTGGCAAGAACACTCTGATGGGGTAATGGCAGAGAGTTTCATCCTTGCTTGTGCATATCAGCAGCAGTGGTGTTGGCTCTGTTTTCTAAGACATGAAAAAATTAGGGGGAATTTGTTTAATAATACAACCTTTCTATAATCTTGAAAATTAAAACTAAAATTAACAAAAAGAATTGATAATTTCCAAACTTCTAAAATTAGCAAAACTCCTTTAGGAATTTTACCATACATTTTATCACAATGTTTCATAAAGCTAAAGCATTAATGTCTCCCAAATGCAATATTTTAACTTGGACTTTTTAAAGAGAAACAACTTTTAAAAAGCCATAAAGACATCATATGAACTCAGCTCTTACAAATGTGGATTGTTGAAGACGATACTTACTTTAAACTCATAAGGGATATAAATAAATATAAAACTTTAGTACCCAGGACATGAAAACCAGAATGATGATAAACGTAGGTTCCATATTAAACATCATGTTTCCAGTTCTTTCAGGAACAATATATTTATCTAGTTTCTAAATTGAGAAAAGGAAGTAAAAAGGAGAGGTGAATTATGAAAAAAGCATGTTATCAGTGTTCTCCTTTAGATTGTTTTTGAAAGCTTTTAAACACTGGGTGTGTAAGTTAAAGCTGCTTTTAGCACTTCCTCAACAGATCACCTTAGATTTTGCTAAACTTGGCACCATTATAGGGGTCATATTTTCACACGGATGCACTCTTCCTGAACAGAATGTATTTGACAGAAACAAGTTTTTCTTTCATTCCAGGCATTTGTGTGTTTGCTTTTTATAACAAACAGTAAGACAAAGCTCACCATTTTGGACTCTCTCCCAATATTTCCAATTTAGCTATGAAAACAAGATTTTTATTTCATGGTTTGGAGAAGTGCACTTTAAAAGTTAACTCTTTAAGAGCACACAGGATTTTTTCCTCAAAATTCATTTTATATTCTTTGATTTGAATTTTGTTTGCACTTCTTTGGATATCACAAAGTCTAGCCTCTCATCACATGAGTTGGTAAGGGAGATATTTTCATAAGTAGTCTTTTTTTTAACCTTACATGATTTAACGTTTTACTATAGTTCTTTTTTTAATATATATTTTTGTTTGAGATGCTAAATCTGGTCTCCATAATCAGATTTGGGAGCAGCCTTTATTTTGTTGTTAGGTTTTTGGCAGAGTCTAGAAGTCCCCAAGCTGCCAAAGTTTTGTCTGAAAGCCTTTTGAGTTCAGCAGTTTTCATACTCTATCCTGTCATAATGAGCAGCATCTGCCCCCCAAAAAAGGCCAAGTTATTATGACAGGTTAGAATCTTAATAGTATTAGGAAAAAATCTTGCAAGGTTATATCTAGAATATGTATTCAAATGAACCACAAGCCTAATTCCAGTGGTTGCAAGGACAGCACGTCATGCAGCCTGTATTCCCAGTCTTCCATAGAAGTCAAAGCATCCAGTGAAAATTCTGACACTGAAAGAATGTCTATTGAATTCTTCATTCTGAAGCAGGTTATAAGAAGGAGATTTGCTGGGCATGGTGGCTTACACCTGTAATCCCAGCACTTTGGGAGGCCGAGGTGGGTGAATTGCTTGAGCCCAGGAGTTCAAGACCAGTCTAGGCAACATGGAAAAACGCTGTCTCTACAAAGCATACAAAATTAGCCAGGCACAGTGGTATACACCTGTAGTCCCAGCCAATTGGGAAGCTGAGGTGGAAGGATCAACTGAGCCCAGCAGTTCAAGACTGTAGTGAGCCATGATCACGCCACCGCACTCCAACCTGGGTGACAGAATGAGACCCTGTCTCAAAAAAATAAATAAATAAAAATAAAAAAGGAGGCTGGCAAGAAGACCTATTTTTAAATGGACACATTTCTTTTAGGAAGAGAAAGAAATACTATTTTTTACTTGTAAAAGAAAATGGGTAAATTAAAATGTGACTGTACTTGATATTTTCACTGAATGTAATTATCGTCATCATCATCACCATGATCTTTGTAAGCCTAAATGACTTATTTGGAAGAGAATGTTAGTATATTTTACATGTCATCTTAGTTCTTTATTGTCATGCTTTCCTTTTTAAAATTTGCTTTCTTTAGCCTCTGAACCATTCAAATATGCTATTATCATTCTTTTCAGTTCATAGGCCTACATTATTTACTGTTCAAATATAATATAACACTAGAACAGCTATTTGTGCTGAAATATATTTCACCATTTTTAATGGGAGAAAAGATTATCAACTTTCCTATAAACAGAGAACTGATATACAGAGGTATTAGTTCATTCCATAGCACATAGGAGTGCTACTTGTACACAAAATGAAATATCAGGAAATGTTAATGCATGTACTGTTCTGTGTAACTTCAGACTTCATCACTAAACTAATGAAAGAGTATCTTGAATAGTCGTTCAAGCTAGATACAAATCAGTTGCTGAAAATAAGAGGACAATAAATGAAATATTAGATAGAGATTTGCAAAAGCACCATAATAATTTACATTACTGGAATATGAGTAGAAATGTATTTTTAGTCTCTTATTCTCAAGGTTTGATATGCTAACTATAAAGCAAGGATGACACTTCATGAACTGGGGCTTCTTAGTGTTCACAAATGTGTGTGTATGTGTAGCTTTTAATTTTTAGTTTGAATACAAAACTGAACTTTGTTGCACATGTATAAAAACTCTACATTTTTTAGGTCATTCAGCCTGAGGAAAAAGTTATATCAACAGAAGAGCAACAAAACTAAATTTTTCTGACACTTCTTGTATCGCTATTACAGGACCTCTCTATTTAATTCAAGAAGTTCAGAAAGAAAGGAAAGAGGTGGTGTCTTTTAAATAGAAATGTCTTTTATTTCTATTTTTGTCTAGCTAACTCCTATTCATGTATCAATGCCTAGCTCAAGAGACGGTTTCTTTGGAAAGCCTTTCTTAACCCACATTCTATTTAGGTAGCCCATCTCTACACATTCATAAAACCCTATGCCTGTTTCCTGCTTTTCACAGTACTGATTATGGAATTATAACCATTGGGTTACTCATTAGCTGTCTTATGATCTTTCTATCATTTCGCTCCTCTATTTCCTCCTCTCTTCCTTTTTTCTCATTCCTAATCTCACACCCGTACACAAGACCATGAGTTCCTCATGAACAAAGACTGCTTTACTGGGCTTTGAATTTCTAGCATTTAGCGCAATGTCTGGTACATAGTAATGACCAACCAATATTTATTGAATTAACATATATAAGTGAATGAATGCTTAGGAACTAGTCATATCAGCTGTGACCATTTTTGTCTTTTCCTCTAGATTGGTAGGATAATATACTCTGTTGCAGCTAATGATCACTGTGTTAGTTTGATAGGGCTGCATAACAAAGTACAACAGACTGGTTGTTTTTAAAAAATAAATAGAAATTTATTTTCTCACTGCTCTGGAAACTAGAAGTCTGAGATGAAGGTGTTGGCAGGATTGGTTCCTTCTGAAGATGGTGTAGAAAGAATCTGTTTCAGACCTCTTTCCTTGTTTTGTAGAAGTCTGTCTTCTCCCTGTGTCATCATCTTCCCTTTGGACATGTCTATGTCCAAATTTCCTCTTCTTGCAGTGACATCAGCTATATTGGATTGGGGCCCACCCTAGTGAACCCAATTTTACTTGATTACCTCTTTAAAGAGTCTATCTTCAAATACAGTCACATTCTGAGATACTAGGAGTTAGGAGTTCGACATATAAATTTTGGGGAAGACATAATCCAGCTCATAACTCCTAAGGGTGCTGCTCTTAGTAATAACCATATTAGTAAGCAACCATTTTTGAGCACATATTTTATGCTCAAAAACAGTGTTAGAAACAGTATTAGTTTTGTTTCAGAAACAGTATTAAGTATTTTATATGCACATCTCCGACACGTAAGGTTGCCCTGATGTCTGCCACAGGCTCCTGCACTCATGAACCCATCGAAGCACCAATATTTTGTCACCCATCCTGTGGTTCAGTAGTTAACTGCAATGGAGAAAATTTCTCTTTACTTCCACTGGTGTGACGCCTTACTAAGTGGGGTGCTAAGTAGTGCTACTTTTTCTTTTTTTTTTAACGTGGATTCTCAGCTGCCCAGGCTGGAGTGCAGTGGCAAGATCTCGGCTCAGTGCAACCTCCGTCTCCCGGGTTCAAGCGATTCTCCTGCCTCAGCATCCCGAATAGCTGGGATTACAGGCGCCCGCCATCACGCTTGCTTATTTTTCAGTATTTTTAGTAGAGATGGGGTTTCACCATGTTGGCCAGGCTAGTCTCATACTCCTGGCCTCAAGTGATCCACCGGCCTCAGCCTCCCAAAGTTCTGGGATTACAGGCATGAGCCTCCGCACCCGGCCTGAGTAGTGTTACTCTTAAGGATCTACAAAAAGTTTATTGAAGCAGTTCTTTTACTTTTTATTATTTTATTGCATTCTTCATGTATGAAACTTCAACCATGGGTCCACAGGAGTTGAGTCGGGGGACCAAGTTGAATGGCAAGTTACAGGCTCTATTCAGAATTATGCCATTTTATCCATGCCCTAGTACTGCCCTTGTGTGTTTTGATTCCCTCTTCTTTCGGTTTAAATTTTCCCCTCCCCGCAGGACTTAAATATAATAGATGCAGAGCCAATCCACCTCCATCATCCCTCCAGACGTGCATGGTTTCTAGAAAATATACAAGTTCTCAACTGAGATCTCAGCTAAATTTAGCTGCAAACTGAGTTTTCACTATGCTTTTCTAAGAAATTTTACTCATGTAATTGTTTCTTGTTGTCTTGTCTTCTTTCTTTTTTAATTTAAAAATATTTAATTGACAAATAAGGATTATATATATTCAAAGTGTGTGACGGGGTATCCAATCTTTTGGCCTCTGTGGGCCACACTGGAAGAAGAAGAGTTCTCTTGGGCCACATATAAAATACACTAACCATAGCTGATGAGCTAAAAAAAATCACAAAAAAAATCGCATAATGTTTTAAGAAAGTCTATGAATTTGTATTGGGCTGCATTCAAAGCCATCCCGGGCCGCATGCGGCCCAAGGGCCATGGGTTGGACAAGCTTGATGTACAATGTGATGATTTGATATATGTAAATATTGCATAATGAAAGAAAGACAGTGAAAAGAGAAAGAACCTCAAGGATTCATGTCGTCTGTTTTTTTTTTAGCAAGATTATGCAAGTGTCTATATTATAGGCATCTAAGAGCATTAGTAGTGCCTATTTTTCCTCCTTTTGTGAAAAAAAGAGCACAGGAGTAGTGGAAAAAGAAAGGAGTTGACACATGAGGTAAAATAATCTATACTCTTCTCTCTTTTAGAGGTGTTAGAAAGATCTATAGCTGTATCTTCTCCAAGGTCAAGTCAGGGCTTGTGGTGGAATACATTCTACCTCAGCTCCTCCATACACTGATGACAGTATCCTGCATTCAGGGCCATGGAAAGGTTGACTTACTCAATCTCACCATGTGAGTAGCGATAGACTTCCCCAGCAATTTTATTCATCTAGCTGAATTCTTTCTAAAGACTATTTTGGAAATTCAATTTCTAGAGTTTTGAAAAATGAATTCCAAATATCACCTGAAGGCTTTGTTTATTTTAACAATTGAGATCAATAGGGAAAAGATAGAGTTTAAAATGATTTCCCATTCTATGAATGTTCCTCCATATGATTCAAGTAGCACCTAGTATTTATCATAATTTTAAATTTAATTGGCAACATATTTTATTGTCCTTTAGTATTGTGGTTCATTAATACTATCAAAACCTTTCAAGCCAGATTACCAAAATCTTGGTGACTTTTATTGCCAGAATTTGAGAGTTTGTTTCCTCCAATCTTCAATAATTTCACCCTCTATTTAGTTTACCAAAGCCTGTTAAATTGCTGTTCTCGTAATGTCAGGAGGAATTTCACATCTCTTTGCAGAATTAAACTTATTGAGTTGGTGTTTCACATGCCAGATCTATCTATCTATCTATCTATCTATCTATCTATCTATCTATCTATCTATATATATATATATTTATCCCTGGGGATTGCCTATTCACATTAGTAGGAGCTGAGTAGACATATCAAGCAAACAACAGCCCTCTCTTCACTTGACAATCAGGTAGCAAGGGTACAGTTATCAGTGCTAGTAATATTACATCTCCAGAAGAATTTAAAGGATCACTTTCAATTATGGGTAGAGCTCTAAGCTTGATAGGATATTACAGAGCTGAACTATTTATAGAATCACAAATCCCTTCACAAACATTTTGGAAATTGATGTTTACATGTTAGCACTATTATAAAAATGTATTTTTTAAATGTATGCAATTAAATTTTTTTGCCAAGAATGTTAAAAACTTGAAATCATTGTGGAAAGCAAAAAAGTCCATAGTATGTGTTCCTTAATAGAAGGCAACACAGTACTTTTTTGCCTGGAATTCTAATTTGCAAATCCAATGTCTCTCTCCAGATAAATGCAATGTAATATAACTCGTACCAGTATGTAATATGCCAGTTAGGTGCCCCCAAAAAGATCTAGATCTGTAAATAGTGCTTGAGGACCAACAGGATTTCTTTGTGGTTTTATGCTTGACACTATTAGCATTTTTCATAGATTGAAAATGCTTTATTAGATCTTAAATCTTTCTAACAATATTACCTAATATCTATAGGTAAATTGTCATGTTTCCCAAGTGACAAAAAAGGGGGGCATTATTAGAAAGAAAGCATTACCAAATTTTCTGTTTTGGATAGATTCATATATATTATATGAGTAATCAATAATATATAATTAAATACATTATAATTACATAAATAAATCAATCCAAATATATATATTTTCGTCAGTCTTAATTTTTTTCTAAACAATAAGCCAAACCCTATGTATGCCAGGTACAAAGCATAATTTGGAAATTTCACCAGTCAGTGCTTTTCCATGCCATTATTGGGAGCATTATGCTTCTAGCTATAAAACAAATAATTAAAATCCAAGAAGGGTTATGTAATGAGAGTATACTCAAAGTGTCTGATGGGAAAGAAAATGACATGTAAAACCCTATGTAAATAAAGTAATCCTTTAATATTCTATGTAGATACTCATTTGAGACAAATAACTTTGTACAAAGATCTATTTTTTCAAATATTGTCTGCTTGAATGGCTTTTGATGATCCCAAAAGGGAACTGTAGATAGACCTTTCTTGCAAGTGGATTACTGCTTCTGCTGTACTGAGAGTCTGGATACATGCACAGGTATTACTGGTAAGAATTAAATCTAAAAGGGGCTGCCAACTAGCAAGGTTCTACTTTGATCACATGCTGAGTACATATGAAGCCATTGAAATAATCATTAGTCTTGAAATAAGGATGTTGTGCCTGCATTCCTTCACCCCAACATAAGCAT